>NC_000009.12:35313030-35464545 GCF_000001405.40 Homo sapiens
ATGCAAAAGCCCCAAGGGAACTGATCGTTTTAAGAAGTGCAGTGAGAGGGGTTGAAAGGCTTATTCCACCCCTCTCTGCATGGTTTCTATACTACGTATTGACTCAGGGCTCTCGCCATTGCCTCTAGAGTCCTGATCCCAGACTGTTCCAGGGAGCTACCACATTGGGTAAATGACAAAAACGAGTAGGAAAAGAGGGAACAGATGAAAAGCTAAAAGGAATTGTCATTTTAGAGATGAATTATTTTCACATTGAGTATTCAGTACTATGCTGCTCATTGGGTAAATGAAAAAGAAGGAAAAGAAGGAACAGATGAGGCGCAGTGGCTCACGCCTGTAATCCCAGCACTTTGGGAGGCCGAGGTGAGCAGATTGCTTGTGCTCAGGAGTTCAAGACAAGCCTGGGCAACATGGCGAAACATCGTCTCTACAAAAAGTACAGAAATTAGCTGGGTGTGGTGGCACGCACCTGTAGTCCCAGCTATTTGGAAGGCTGAGGTGGGAGGATTGCCTGAGCCCAGGAGATTAAGGCTGCAGTGAGCCGTGATCATGCCACAGCACTTCAGCCGAGGCAACAGGGTGAGACCCTGTCTCAAAATAAATAAATAAATAAATAAATAAATAAATAAATAAATAAATAAATAAAAGAGGGAACAGATGAGAAGCTAAAAGGAGTTATCGTTTTAGAGAGGAATTGTTTTCACATTGGATATTCAAGTACTATGCTGTTTTAGTAGCCTGAATCACTAAATAAGTGTAGGCATGAGTACAAACCATTTTATTTTAGACATTTGGCAGTCTTGCCTTGAGCAGTGTCACCTTGTGGCCTTGGCTATTTTTAAGAAATGTACTTTTTCTCTGTTACAAGTTTTCCTGAGGAGAATGCATCTTCACCATTTACCCAAGCCAGAGCACATTGGATCCGAGCAGTTACCAAGGTTCGACTCCAGCTGCAGGAGGTAGGAAATCTGTTCTAGTACTGGTTGGGACAATTTTTCCTTTGAAATTGGGAGACATATGGTGCTGGAGAAGCAATCAGTGATTAGTCATCTTCTTACAGTGTGCTTCTGGGAATGCATGACAATTAAGCCAGAGCTTTAAGGGATGGGAAGTGGCCAGTGGCTTTCTTCTGTGCTGATTAATGGAAATCAAATAGACCTAGTGGGCTGAGAGCCTGACTGTAAAGTTAGATGCTTATTTTCAAGTACTGTTCATTGTCTCTTTGAAGCCGTTTGAGTTTAGGGCGAGTTTAGGGCAAGAAATGATTTCAAGCCCCTGAGGATAGTTGTCTCCCTTACCTAGCCGGTCCATACTGGCTCATCTGTAGGGCCAAAACAGGGTACAAAAATATCTATGGAATTTGCCAGTTTAAGTCCCAAAGTATCAGCACACTAAGATCTGAAACAACGTCAAAAAAATGTAAAAACAAAGATAAATATTTTTCATTTTCAGTGTTACAAGTTTGAAGTGTCTTTATCTGTGTGTTAGGAGGTAGGCAGTCTTTAGGCAGAAGGTACTTTTTTTTCCAT
Source organism: Homo sapiens (assembly GCF_000001405.40). NCBI lineage: Eukaryota > Metazoa > Chordata > Mammalia > Primates > Hominidae > Homo > Homo sapiens. Next base: position 35,314,560 of record NC_000009.12, read on the forward strand.
ATAAATTTAGGAGGTACCCGTGCAGTTTTGATACATGGATATGTTGCATAGTGGTGAAGTCTGGGCTTTGGGTGTAGCCATCATCTGAATAGTGTACATTATACCCATTAAGTTATTTCTCTTTCCTTACCCGCTTCCACCCTTCTAAGTCTCCAGTGTCTATTATTCCACACTCTAAATCCATGCGTACACATTATTTAGCTCCCACTTATAAGTGAGACCATGCAGTATCCCATGGTGTGTATATATATATATATACACCACATTTTTAAAAGCCAAACATCTGTTGATGGACACTTAGGTTGATTCCGTATCTTTTTTTTTTTTTTTTTTTTTTTTTTTTGAGTTCAGGTCTTGCTCCTTTGCCCAGCTGGAGTGCAGTGGTGTGATCATTGCAGCTTTGAACTCCTAGGCTCAAGCAATCCTCCTACCTGTGCCTCTTTAGTAGCAGGGTCTACAGGCATGCACCACCATGCCTGGCTAATTTAAAAAAAATTTTTTTTTTTTTTTTTTGTAGATGCAGGGTCTTGCTGTATTGCCCAGGCTGGTCTTGAACTCCTGGCCTGAAGTGATCCTCCCACTTTGGCCTTCCAAAGTGCTGAGAGTACAGGTGTGAGCCACTATACTCAGCCCATAATATTTTTGCTACTGTGAATAGTGCTGCAATAAACATATGGGTGCAGGTATCTTTTTGATATAATGATTTATTGAAGTTACATGTTTAATGACAATTGGCTGTCAGTAGTATAATATCTGGCAGATATTAAAAGCACAATCATGCTCACATATGTGCACATATACTTTAAAAATTAATTTATTTTGAAGCAATTTCAAACTTAAGGAAAAGTTGCAAAAACAGTAAAGAACTACTATGTCTCCTCACCCAGATGCTCCAACTATTCACATTTCACATTTACTTCATTGCCTTCCCTCCATTATGATCAATCTTTTTCTGAATCATTTGAGAGAAAATTGGAGACATGATATTCTGTCATTCCTAAATCTTCCTTTGTATTTCCCTATAAACAAGGCTACAGTTCTGTATAACCATGATATAACCATTCAAATCTGCCAAACAACAATAACAACACTATTATCAAGACCCTATCCATATTTTGCCAACCATCCCAACAATGTCTCTTTTTCCTTTCTAATCCAGAATCCAATCCAGAATGACATGTTGCATTTAGTCGTGATATCTCTTTAGCTTCGTTCGGTGTTTCCCATCCTTAGCAGTTTTAAATGGTATAGGCTTTTCATTTTGTAGCATGTTCTTCAGTTTGGGTCCATTCAGTGTTTCCTCATGTCCGGACTGAGGCCATCCTTTCATGGCAGGAATTACACAAAAAAAATGATGCTGTGCTCTTTTCAGAGCATTGCGTCAGAAAGTACCTGATGTCAACATGTCCTACCATTTATAATGTCAGCCTTGATGACTTGGTTAAGTTTGCATTGGCCAGGTTTCTCCACTGTCAAGGTACCATTTCTTCCCTCTGTAATTGTTAAGTGCCTTGTGGTGCAGTACTCTGAGGATATGCTGGTATTTTGTTCCTTATCAAATCTCTACCTACCAGCTAAGTAGCCGTCTCCTATCTGAATCTACCACCACTAATGATGGTTGCCAATTGGTAACTTTCTGTTTCTATTATTCTTTCTATATTAATTAATTAGTTGGCACTCTATTTTTAGGAAGAGATTTCCCTTTTCTCTCATTAATTTATTTATGTCAATATTGCATTATGACTCTTACATTTCTAATTTATTACATGAGTTATAATCCATTATTGTCATTTATTTTGGTGCTCAAATCGTTCTGGCTTCATATGAGCACTCTTAATTTGACCCTTCAGGGAGAAGATAATGTTTTAGTAATTATTGAAAAGATAGCTGCTTGGAAAAGGTATTGTGAATACAGATATTTGAAAATGCTATTATTTGTATATAGATGTGCGTGTGTGTGTTCTTTTATCAGAAACAATGTTACTGATAAAAACTCATAATTGCATGCTCTAAAATCTTGGAAAGAGACTATTAACATATTAAAAATATTTCTAATGAAGATTTTCAATGAGTTTTGAACTTACTTGTTAAAAATATGAAAATATTTCTCACAATTTTGCAAGAACGGCTGACTGACATCAGAGAAGAGGAAAAATTACTAGCCAAAGTTTAACAAAATCTCTGAATAATTAGTATGTTGGAACCAATTGCTCTTCTTTCATTAGATTTGATATATCATTATCTTTTTCGGCTGTGACAGCTATGAAAACCATGTATTGAAGTAATTGAATGTACAATCAGACCTTAAAGTCATTCTATAACAAAATATTAAAATAAGATTTAGGAAACAATTAGGCACATTATATCACATTGTTTTAAAAAAAAGTATCACTGTGAATATTTTTAGTTACAGCAAAAAAATTTTTGTTAATAAACATTAAAAAACTTTTAAATTTGTTATGCTTTTCACATTTTAATTTTTATAATATATATTAATGCAGTTATACATCTATATAATTTTTAAATGAATAAGCGTACATATGTTGAGAGGTTCATGCTAAAAAAATTTTCCATGGATAGGGCTGCCTAACTGCAAACACTGGGAGTCTGTTGATATAGACTGACGTGAGGCAAACAAATGTTTGTTTATTTATTTATTGAGACAGGGTCTTACTCTGTCGCTTAGGCTGGAGTGCAGTGGCATGATCATAGCTCACTGCAGCGTCAACCTCCTGGGCTCAAGTGATCCTCCCACCTCAGCCTCCCTTGTAGCTAGGACTATAGGTACGCACTACCACACCCAGCTGATTTTTTTTAATGCTTTGTAGAGATGGAATTTCACTGTGTTGCCCAGGCTGGTCTTGAACTTCTGAACTTCTGAGCTCAAGCGATCCTCCTATCTCAGCCTCCTAAAGTGCTGGGATTATAGGCGTGAGCCACTGCATCTGGCTAAAGAAGCTTTTTTTTTTTTTTTTTTTTTTAAGACAGAGCCTCACTCTGTTGCCCAGGCTGGAATGCAGTGGTATGATCTCGGCTGATTGTAATCTCCGCCTCCCAGGTTCAAGCAGTTCTCATGTCTCAGCCTCCCTAGTAGCTGGGACTACAGGCGTGGGCCACCATGCCTGGCTAATTTTTTTTTTTTTTTTTTTTAATTTTTAGTAGAGATGGGGTTTTACCATGTTGGCCAGGCTGGTCTCAAACTCCTGACCTCAAGTGATCCACCTGGCTCAGCCTCCCAAAATGCTGGGATTACAGGCATGAGCCACCACGCCTGGCCTAAACAAGCATTTAAAATGAACATTTATGGAATGAATGTCATAATACTTACTGATTTTTTATTTCTAAGTTTTTTAAAAGTAAGGGTCTTGTAATTCTTCCTATAAAGCAAAGCAAAGTAATTAGCCTTATCCATGTAAAAGGAAAGCTCTGAATTAGAAAAATAAGAATATATTGGAGAAGACACAGTTTAAGTTATGGCCTTTTCTTTTTCAGAAGTATAATAATTCAGTCTCTCAAAAAGACTAGCTGAAAACAGTTGCCAAAGCTTGGAATCATACAGACAGAGGCATGGTTTACCTAAGAGTAACTAAGAACTTAATTGAATAAGAGAACAATAGTAAAGATATTCTTAACACAGGTAAAGTAACTGGCAACTGATTAGAAATGTCCAAGAGGAGAACAAGAAGCCAGAGTTTAAAGAGGGTTCTGATAACAGTTTAAGATTGAAGCAGAAATGTACCATTTGTACTTAAGATGAGATTTAGTAACATATTGGTTGAAGTTATGTGAGAGAAAGAAGTTAAGCACAACACCAAGGATTTTTTTGCCCCGCTGCCGCCCCGCCACCCCAATCACTCCTTCACCCTCCACTCAAGATAATCTTGTTAGTTTCCTATTTATCGTTCTAGAATATCTGTCTACAAGTACAAGCAAATATGAATATACTAATGCTTCTTTACCCGTTTTTATACAAAAGATGGTATATTATACATACCAAGCATTTCTTGATTTTGTATTTGGAGATCCTTCCATATCAGCTCTAAGAAAATTTTTCATTCTTTTTTATAGCTGCGTAATATTCCATTGAATGAAATATTTGTTCTGCAAGTATTTAGTCCTTTGTTGATGTTCATTTGGTTGTTTCCAGTCATTTGCTGTTAACCATGTTACAAATGAATAACCTTGTACATATGTCATTTTGCATGTGTGCAGGTATACCAAGGGGATATGCATTTATAATTTTGATAAATATTGCCAAATTGCCATCCATTTGTCTATGGCTTAAAATAACAAGGGCTTGTTTCTTGCTCGTATTCCACATCAAGGAGTTTTGCTTTAAAGTTGTCTTCTCTCTGCAATCCAGGCTGATGGAGCAACCAACACCTGGAACACTGCCAGTCACAATGGTAAAAGGAAGGGAAAGATAACAAGTGAAAGAAAATATAGCAAGTTGTACTTTGGCTCTTAAAACTTCTACCCAGAAGTTATTAATACATATGTTGCTTTTGCTCATATTTTCCTAGCTAAAGGAAATCATGAAACCAAACTTAACTTTTTAAAAATAATTTCAACTTCTATTAATATTTTAGATACAGAGGGCTGAGTGCAGTGGCTTATGCCTGTAATCCCAGCAGGAGTTTGAGACCAGCCTGGCCAACATGGTGAAACCCTCATCCTTACCAAAAATACAAAAATTAGCCGGGTGTGGTGGTGCATACCTGTAATCCCAGCTACTTGGGAGGCTGAGGCAGGAGAATTGCCTGAACCCGGGAAGCAGAGGTTGCAGTGGGCCAAGCTCATGCCACTGCACTCCAACCTAGGTGACAGAGTGAGACCCTATCTCAAAAAAAAAAAAAAAAAAAAAAAAAAAAAAAAAATTAGATACAGGGGATACCTGTGCAGGTTTGTTACATAGGTATTTTGCATGATGCTGAGATTTGGGGTATAGATCCTGTCACCCATGTAGTGAACATAGTACTCAGGTAGTTTTTCAATCCCTGCCATCTTCCTCCTTCCTCCCTCTAGTAGTCTACAGTGTCTATTGTTCCCATATTTATGAGTACCCAATGTTTAGATGCCACTCATTTTTTAAAACTTTTTTTTTTAATTTTATTTTTTTGAGATGGGGTCTCACTCTGTCACCCAGGCTGGAGTGCACGGGCATGATCACAGCTCACTGCAACCTTAACTCCTGGGCTCAAGCAACCCTTCACCTCAGCCTCCCAAGTAGCTGGGACCACAGGCATGTGCCACTTATGCCCAGCAAATTAAAAAATTCTTGTGTAGAGATAGGGTCTCATTATGTTTCCTAGGCTGGTCTTGAACTCCTGGCCTCAAGCAATCCTCTTGTCTCAGACTCCCAAAGTGCTGGGATTACAGGCATGATTATAGGCCTGGCCCCTAGCTCCCATTTATAAATGAGAATATGCAATATATGGTTTTCTGTTCCTGCATTAATTTGCTTAAAATTATGGCCTCCAACTGCATCCATGTTGTTGCAAAGGACATTTCACTGTTTTTTATGGCTGCATAGTATTCCATGATGCATATGTACCACATTTTCTTTATCCAGTCCACTGTTGATGGGTACCTAGGTTGATTTGATGTCTCTGCTATTGTGAATAATGCTGCGATGAATATATGAGGGTATGTGTTTTTTTGGTAGAACAATTTGTTTTCTTTTCATTATATACCCAGTAATGGGATTGCTGGGTTGAATGCTAGCTCTGTTTTAATTAAAGTGGAGCAGTATGACATACTTTTAAAGAGATAGAGAAGGATATTTGTCAATGGCTTTAATGCCTACCCCCAAAAGTATATGCTTCCCATAGGGAGTGTACCAATTTATACTCCCACTAGTAATGTCTTAAGAGTGGTTTTCTCTTTCCTAACCCATCAGTAATGTATCAAACTTTTGGATTTTCACTTATCTGCTAGGCTCTTTTTGCTATCCTGTTTAGGTGAAATGCTTCCAACATATAGAATTATTTATATTTCAAAAATTCTCAGAGACTTTATATTTGCTGTTTCCCATGCTTAGAATGCTCTTTCTCTTAATTCACTTAGCTAACTTTTCATTCACATCTTTTAAAACCCAGTCAGCTGTCAGTTTTGGGGTAAAGTTTCTAGACTCTTTGCATATTTTTTTCTACTGCATGATGATGTAATGGAGTTACTTGTTTACTGCTATGTCTTACTTTTCTGTGTACTTCTTGTAAGATCCTTTAATGTCAGGCTAAGCTTTTTAAGGCTGATATTCAAGAGCCCAGTATGGAATCTGGCAAAGTGTGTTTAGCTAACCTTTTGTGGATGCTTAACCAGCCAGAGATGCCCCGCATTATTTCCACAGAAGTCTCCATGTGCTTCTTTATCTTCTAATTAATACTATTTTTAATTATTCCCAAGGCCCAGCACTTAAAGTCAATAATAGCAGAATATTAACTATTAACATTAGCTATATTTTCTTATATAAGCTTTATATACATGAACATAAATTTACTGAATTTAGATCATAATATGTGTGGATTTAAACATTTTTTTTCTCACTTTGTTTTTGTGAACTTTATTCTGGGTTATTAAATATTTTTGAAAACATGATTTAATGACTTAATAGATTAATATTCTCTTATATAGGTATTTTATAATATTCCTCTTGTTTCTTTCTTTTCTTTTTTCTTCTTTTCTTTTGAGACAGCGTCTTGCCTGGGCTGGAGTGCAGTGGTACAAGCACAGCTCACTGCAGCCTTGACCTTCCAGGCTCAAGTGATCCTCCCACCTCAGCCTCCCAAGTAGCTGGGACTACAGGCGTGTGCCACCATGCCCGGCTGATTTATTTCTTGTAGAGATGGAGTCTTCCTATGTTGCCCAGCCTGATCTTGAACTCCTGGGCTCAAGCAATTTTCCTGTCTCAACCTCCCAAAATGCTGGGATTACAGGCATGAGCCCTCATACCTGGCTCCTCTTGTTACTATTATGAATAACGCTGTGATGAGCATCATTGTGCATACATCTGTTTTCATTTCTGATTATTTCTTTAACTTAAAATAGATTAAATTACTGAGTTGAAGGGTATAAGTTTTTAAATTTAAATTTTATTTTTTATTTTTAATTTTATTTTTTAAAATAGAGACCAGGTCTCACTACATTGCCTAGGCTGGTCTTGAACTCTTAGCCTCAGGTGATCGTCCTGTCTGGGCCTCCTGCAATGCCATGATTACTGGTATGAGCCATCACACTCGGCTTCAGGGGTATATATATATTTTAAGACTTCTGTCAAACTTCTTAATTTATTTTCAGAAAAGCTTTTCCGGTTTGTACTTTCAGTATTTGAGTGTGCTGTACCAACATTAAGTATTCTTATTTTAGAAAATTTTTGCCAATTTGACAGAAGAATGGTATACCATTGTTTAATTTGCATTTCTTTGATTATCTGTGATTTGAATATATCTCATAAGTTTATAGGTCACTTATACTTCTTCAGCTAATATTACATCAAAGAGACTTTGAGAATCATAGAAACCTAGTTACACTTATGCTATTCCTATAAGATTGTCAGTCACTTGAGGGAAGAGGTTATATAGAGTCATCTCTGTGTCTTCTGGGCTGGCTGAGTACATGGCCATATGTACTTAATAAGTGTTTGATGACATTGCTATTGCTGATGAGGCAGTAATGTTGGTAGTGTGGGTGGGAGTGGATATGAATCTGTACCTTATTTGGCTTAGCTGCAGAAAAATCTGGGGGAGGAGGTGAGACTTTAGCTCTAGAAACGGAGATTGCGGTGGCAGCGGGTGGGTGGGTGTTCCAGGTGGAAGGGACAGTTCAGGAGAAGGCATGGAGATAGGCCAGGAAGAAGGCTTGACAGGAGCTCTTGGGTTGTTGAAGAAAGCTGAGGAAGGAGAGCCTTGGTAAGCAGAGACAGAACAGCAAATAGATGAGAAGGCCTGGGTTTAAATGGAGCAGTCTCAGGAGAGGTAGGATTACAGCTGCCAGCCTGAGAGGTAGATCAGCATTTTCTTAGGGGCGATCATTAAGACAGAGAACGAATCGAAACTCTTCTGCAAAGTTCCGTTCTCACTTGTTACTCCCTCCCAAGAAAAGTGACTTCCTTCTTGTTCTATAATTGAAGCCTCAAAAATGGGTCCCTAGGGGAAAAATAATGAGGCTTAAGGAGAGGGCTTTTGAGAACTGCACCATTCAGACTTTGCACCAGGGAAATACTCTTTCCATAATCTTAAACTCTGGAATTTTTTCTGATCATGTCTGCCTATCTTAACTTCTCAACTCTTTGCCCTCATGGAGACTACCAATTTCCGATCCCTCCTTTTTCTCACAACTTTTCATCCCTCTCCCTAACCATTGCCATTCTAACATTTCTAAAAAAAACTGAAGAATGTTTTGAATAAGTAATAAATGTAAAATATAAAATTGAAAAGGATATTATATATAGATATATATTTATAAATATATAATGCACAGTTTTCCTACTTCAGATTCCCAGGCCCCCTCATCTCCTTTTCCCCCATCTTATTATTTGTGTCTCATGGATCAGTCCAGAGTTAATCCATCCATTTATGAGCATGTGTGTGCCCCAAAACTTGTATGTGTGTATTACACACATTGTCCTACACCTTGCTTTTTTCATTTATTGCTCTATCTCGGAGATTTTTTTCCTTATTAGTATAAATAGAGTTCATACTCTATTAACAGCTGCATAGTTTTTCTGTTAGTATAAATAGGGCTACTGCTTTGTAAATAGTTATATAGTATTTCTTTCTGTAGATGTGTTATAATTTATATACTCTGCCCCCATTGATGGATCTTTAGGTTGTTTCTAATGTAGTTGCAATGCAAATCCTGTACATAAGCCTGAATACTTCAAGACTTATCTTAGCCACAGCTTTTGAGACCCCTCTTCAAACTTCATGGTAAGCCCTACCCAAGAACAGGCCTTACTATTGCTTCACAAACCAGAGTGACCTTCCCTGGCCCTAGCTGCTCCTCTGAATGCTGTGAGACAACCCTTGTTCTCAACAGACTGTTTTCGCCTTCTGAGAAACTGCAGTGCCTTTACCTGATATCTGAGACCAGAACCAACATATTCTCTACCTTCTGACCTTGACTGGACCTGGCTGTTCCTTGAAGCCCTCTTTGGTAGAGACTATGCCTTTTATATGCCCCATGCATTACTGGGTCAGAAGTGAGGTTTGGTTTTCTCTGGCTTCCTCTGCCACTTCCAAGCCATTACTAGATCCTTGCCTAACCTGTTTCTACAGCCACCTTCCTTGTTGCAATTAGATTACAACTTTCCCATAATTCCCCATTTATTCATTGAAAATTTTAGTACCTGCATCACAGTTTTCCTTTTTAATCTCAACTCTTGCCATAATAATAATATCATTATAGTAACCACATTTATTGAATACTACTATGTGTAGGCACTATATCTTTACATGCATTACCTAATGAATTCATAATAATAATTCTGTGAATTAGGCTTATGTTATTAGGCCCACTTTATTGATTAAGCAACTGAGTGTTTAGAAAGATAGAAACTTGTTCAGGATCACCCAGCTAGTAAGATTTAGGACCAGGATTCAAATCTAGATCTATTTAACTTCAGAGCTTGTCTTTTTAACACTAATCTTAGAACCCTACTTTCCAAAGCATGTTCCACAGGACTCCAGTTTCTAGAGTCATTAATAGGTATCATATTATACACGGTTCTATGTCAAAGAAATTTGGGAAACACAGAATTCAACAGAGCACAAAGCCAATAGATTGCCTTATATCTTAGGACTTCTCAGAAACTTCAGTATACTTAGGCTTATTGTGATTCTTTAAGAAGGGAATATAATATGCACAGCTTTATTGCAGACTTATTTGACCATGAAACACTCTTTTAGAGACACATTCTGTGGGACTAGTTTTCCAAGGAATATACTTGAGAAAAGTCTGCGTCAGAGATCCCATTGTCATTTCATTAAAACTGTATTTGTGAAGGTCATCAGTGAGCTCCTAACTGATAACTTAGTGGTTGCTTTTCAGTGTTTATCTTATTGGACCTCTTTGCAGTATTTGACACTTCTGCACAGTCCCTCCTGTTTTGACATCTAAGAAACCATCTCCAACTCTCCTCTTTGATCTGTCTTCAGTCTCTTTTCTGATTTCTCTGTTTGCTCATTTCTTAAATGTTGTTCTTTCCAGAGTTCTTTCCTCAATGCTCTTTTCATATAAATCTATACATTTTTCTTTTGAAATATCATTTATTATGTCACCTATCACCTATATGTGGGTTGCTCTCTTATCCAGCCCAGACCCTAAACCCATATTTCTAACTACTTCTTGGACACTCACTTGTCCCATCAGCATCTCAAATTCAGCTTGTCCCAATCAAAAGACATCACCTCTCTAAAACCTGTTTTACGTCCTGCATTTTGTTCCCATGCTTCCCAAATCAACCCTGAACCCACTAGATGTGATTGGGCTCCTGAGAGATAAGAGAAAGCGAAGACATTCTTTTTAAGATGTAGAAGAATGAGGAGCTGGAGTTTCACTTATCCTCAGAGGGAGAGAAGGATGAGGTAACTATCTTATGCACATAAAAAGTACTCCATAAATATCTGTTGGCAGGATGAATGAACAGGATGTAGAGTAAGGAAGCTTGTCCTTTTGCATTCTGGGCAGTTGAGTTGTGAAGAGGAATGAGGGGGGTTTTCTTGCCTAAAAATCTCTAGAAAAGGAGAGGTCCATACCCATTCTCGCCTATTCTCACTTTTGGTTGAGAAAAAAAATTTTTTTTATTTCCAAATTTTATCTTTTACCAGCTACCCATGGCTCTTCCCTCTGCTTACACAGCTTGCCTCCACTTCCTTTTACTATTCTAAGTGACATAGAGACAAGGATACACTGCCGTTGTACTCTTGCAGCCTTCTCATTCAGCCCTACTTTCATACCATTTCCCCTCAGTGGCTTGACAACAAATTCTTGTTCCTTTGTTTTTAGTAACAAATATTTTTAAATTCAGATATAATTAATATAACATAAAGCCATCTTAAAGTATACAATTAAGTGGTATTTAATATAGTCACTAGATCACACAACCATCACCACTACCTAATTCCAGAACATTTTCATCACCTCAAAAGGAAATCCCATACCCATTAGGGATTACTCCCTATTCCCTTTTCCACCAGCCTGTAGCAACCATGAATTTACTTTCTGTAGATTTGTCTGGACATTTCATACCAATGGATTCCTATCATATGTGGCCTACTGTGTCTGGATTCTTTTATTTAGCTTAATGTTCTTAAGGTTCATCCATGTTGTAGCATGGATCGTTACTTTTGGCTATTATGAATAATGCAGCTGTGAACATTCATGTACAAGTTCTTGTGTGAACATAAGTTTTCAGCTTTTTTGGGTATGCACTTAGGAATGGAACCGCTAGGTCATATGGTAACGTTGTTTAACATTTTGAGAAACCGCCAGACTGTTTTTTAAAGTGGTTGTGCTATTTTACCTTCCCATCAGCAGTGTATGAGGGTTTCATTTTCCCCCCATCTTTGCCAACACTTATTGTCTGTCTTTTTTTATTATAGCCATCCTAGTGGGTGTGAAGTGCTAACTTGTGATTTTGATTTGCATTTCCTTAGTAACTAATGATGTTGAGTATCTTTTCATGTGCTTATTGGCCATTTTTATATCTTCTTTGGAGTTTAGTAGTCTCCTCTTAAACATAGGGGATACATTCCCAGACCCCAAATGGGTACCTGAAACCATGGATAGTACCAAACTTCACATATACTATGTTTTTTCCTATACATACATATGATAAGGTTTAATTTGTTAATTTTAGAGACAGGATCTCACTCTGTCCTGCAGGCTGGAATGCAGTGGTTCACTGCAGCCTTGAATCCTGGGCTCAAGCAGTCCTTCTACCTCAGCTTCCTGAGTAGCTTGGACTATAGGCATGCACCACCACACCTGGCTAAGTTTCTATTTTTTAGTTTTTTGTAGAGACAAGAGCTGTGTTGCCCAGGCTGGTCTTCAACTTCTGGGCTCAAGTGATCCTTATGCCTTGGTCTCCCGAGGCACTGGGATTGCAGGTGTGAACCACTGTGCCCAGCCAATGTTTAATTTATAAATTAGGCACAGTAAGAGATTAACAACATAATAAAATAAAACAATTATAACCATATACTGTAATTAAAGATATGTAAATATGATCTCTCAAAATATTTTATTGTATTGTACAGCAGGTAACTGAAACCACAGAAAGCAAAACAGTGGCTAAGGAGGGACTACCGTAATATCTATTCAAATCCTCCGCTCATTTTTAAATTGGGTTATTTGTCTTTTTGTTGTTGAGTTGTAAGAGTTCTTCACATATTTTGGATAGAAGTCCCTTATCAAACATATGATTTGCAAATATTTTCTCCTACTCCTGTTCCTTTTTAATTTTTTCAAACCTCTTTTGAATTTGCCATGTTTTGCCTTAATTATGCCCTAACTTGCAACCTTTCTTCTCTTTCTCTTGCCTATCTCTGGGGAAATTGGCCACAGCAGCCAAGCCTCTGAAGCAATAAGGAGGAGCTGTTTTTTCTAGGGTGTGGAAGTAGCTTGCCTAGTTGGTCAGTGTATTATTAGGGTTCTCCAGTGGGAGAGAACCAATAGGATATATGTATATATAAAAGGGACTTTATTAAGGAGAATTGGCTTACATGATTACAAGGTGAAGTCCCATGCATGATAGGCTGTCTGCAAGCTGGAGAAAGAGAGGAGCCAGTAGAGGCTCAGTCCAAGTCCAAAAGCCTCAAAACCAGGGAAGCTGACAGTACAGCCTTCAGTCTGCAGCTGAAGACCTAAGGGACCCCAGGAAGCCTCTTGGTGCAAGTCCCAAATAACCTGTTCAAGGGCCGGAGAAGAGGAAGCAAATGTCCACATGGGAAGAAAAAAGAGAGCCAGAAAACTCAGCAAGCAAATTTATTCCACCTTCTTCCACCTGCTTTGTTCTAGCTACACTGGCAGCCAATTAGATTGTGCCCACCCACATTGAGGGTGGGTCTTCCTCTCCCAGTCCACCAACTCAAATTTCTATCTTCTGTGGCAACACCCTCACAACACCCAGAAACAATACTTCCCCAGCCATCTATCTAGGCATCCCTCCAGTCAGGTTGACACCTAATATTAACCATTACCGTCAATGAAAGCATGTTCTGGAGCATTGCAGCCATGAAAGCATGTTCTGGAGCTGCCAGCTCATGTAGCATCCTGATGGTCTCAGTCCCTCCTTTTCTGTTTCTCTAATATACGCATCTAGCTCCGTCCTTGGAATTCAACCATTTAGGTAAAAACTAAAGTTGTCAGTAGAAAGGAATTCAAAAGATGAAGCTAAGTAGATGACAACAGTGATTTCTTTAGGAATAAAGCTTCAAATTTTCTTTTCTTTTTCTTTTACTTTTTCTTCTTTTCTTTTTCGAGACTGAGTCTCACTCTGTTGCCCAGGCTGTAGTGCAGTGGCTCGATCTCAGCTCACTGCAACCTCTGCCTCCCAGGTTCAAGCAATTCTCCTGCCTCAGCCTCCCGAGTAGCTGGGACTACAGGCATGTGCCAACATGCCCAGCTAATTTTTTTTGTATTTTTAGTAGAGATGGGGTTTGACCGTGTTGGCCAGGCTGGTCTCGAATTCCTGACCTCAGGTGATCCTCCCACCTTGACCTACCAAAGTGCTGGGATTACAGGCGTGAGCCACCATGCCCAGCCTAAATTTTCTTTTAAACATGAGCAAAGTCCCTCCACCTCTCCCACCTCTATTGACACTGAAAAGAGCAGAGCTGCCAGAAGGATTCATGTGGTTCTCCTGCTTCTGTTCTCCATATCTGCTAAGCAGCAGCCCAGAGTAGGGATGAAAGCTGAGACTGGTCTAGTTCTCATTCTCCAAAGCCACCAACTGAGATGATCCTTCCACTGTATTCCAAAGTTTCCCTACAAAGGAAAGGAAAAAACCAGAGTGCCTGGCTTCTGGTTCTGAATTGTCCCCTTCCTTCCTTCCTTCCTTCCTTCCTTCCTTCCTTCCTTCCTTCCTTCCTTCCTTCCTTCCTTCCTCCCTCCCTTCCTTCCCTTCCCTTTCTTCCTCCCTTCCTTCCCTTTCTTCCCTTCCTTCTGTTCCTTCCTTTCCTTCTTTTCTTTTCCTTTCTTTTCCTTCCCTTTCCCTTTCCTTTCTTTTTGACAGAGTCTGGCTCTGTCGCCCAGGCTGGAGTGCAGTAGTGTGATCTCTGCTCACTGCAAGCTCCGCCTCCTGGGTTCACGCCATTCTCCTGCCTCAGCCTCCCGAGTAGCTGGGACTACAGGCGCCTGCCACCATGCCTGGCTAATTTTTTTTTTGTATTTTTAGTAGAGATGGGGTTTCACTGTGTTAGCTAAGATGGTCTCGATCTCCTGACCTTGTGATCCGCCCACCTCGGCCTCCCAAAGTGCTGGGATTACATGCGTGAGCCACCTCGCCCAGCCCCGAATTGTCCCCTTTCTTCCCTTGCCTTTTAAATATCTGATACCACTGAGTTCCTGATTTCACCTTTTCCTCCTCTCATGGGCTGAGTTTGTTCCCATTCCCACCCCAAAGTTCATAATGTTGAAGTCTTAACCTTCCCCAGGGGTTGGATACCTAACCCCAGGTATCTTAGAATGTGACATTATTTGGAGATAGGGTCGTTAAGTGGGTAATTAATATAAACTGAAGTCATATGGGTGGGCTTTACTCCATTATGACTAATGTCCTTGGAAGAAGAAGAAATGAGGACACAGACACAGAGAGGAAAGACCATTTGAAGGCAGAGAAGATGGCCATTGACAAGCCAAGGAAAGAGGCCTTGGGAGAAATCAACCTTCTTGGCATCTTGATCTTGGATTTCTAATATCCAGCATTGTGAGATTTTTTTTTTTTTTGAGATAGGGTCTCACTCTGTTGCCCAGGCTGGAGTGCAGTGGTGCGATCTTGGCTCACTACAGCCTCCACCTCCTAGGCTCAAGTGGTCCTCCCATCCCAGCCTCCCTAGTAGCTGGGACCACAGGTACATGCCACTATGCCCAGCTAATTTTTTATATTTTTTGTGGAGATGGGGTTTCTCTATGTTGCCCAGGCTGGTCTCGAACTCCCAAGCTCAAACAATCTGCCCCCCTTGGCCTCCCAAAGTGCTGGGATTACACCACGCCTGGTCAAAAATAAATTTTAGTTGGTTAAGCCACCCAGACTGTTCTACTTTGTTTTGGCAGCCCTAGAAAACTAATATACCTCCCATGGCAGAAGAGGGAAGAGGGTGGCACAAGCCTCAGTATTTCTCGCCTGTCAATATTTGTTTCCTGAGGTCCACTTGGAGAGAAATAGGGTTTCCAGACTGGTAGACACAGAGCCCAAGAGCCCATTCACAATATTGTGTCTTTTGTATCCGTTTACTGTTAAATTGTTACTAACAAAATTTAGGGCTGGATAGAAATGCCGAGAACTGGGTTTTTGTATTAGCTCACCCTTAAAATCTGAAATAACTAACAAATTCATATTTGTTGTTCTTCTCAGTTATAAAATTAGGGATAGCGACTTGTTCTCTCTCACAGGATTTTGGTGAGATCACAGAAAAATGCATTTTTGAGTACAAAGCTCTACAAGCATTTGCTTAAAAGTCTCTAGCCAGCCTCCTAGTACTTTCCAGAACTGTTGGCTTTTAGGGATCTGTCATGACCTTTCTAGCCTAGACCTGAGGCAACTGAATGACCCATCAAAGGTCATTGCTGACCATGGCTGGAACCTTTGCTGCTAAGTGAGGATCCATTGACACTGCTGTTTTTTTGGCTGATGTGGCAATGAGCCAATGCCATAGGATTTCAGGCTGTTATAGGGATCTAGGCCACCAGGTCTCCCCTGTGGTAACAGGGTTGCTAGGGTAACTTATCTATGGATGACTCCAATGAGGCTATTTGGTATGTTAGTGCTTCTCTGGGACCACCAAAGAAGAGGAAGAAGTCAACGGAAGCCAAAGGCTGACCTGTGCAATGTGGGAACATTTTCAAAGAGCAGCTTTCATGCACTTGTCAGTAGCAATACGGATGTTTTTTGTTTGTTTTACCTCTGAAATATTCTGGACACATTTATGGCCTGGATCTGGATGTTCATCAATGGTGGATCTTCTATAAACCTTCTAGTTCTGGGCTGTGACTGAGCCTGGTGAATTATAGGATGTCACACCTGGACTGAGATTTGGGGCAGTGGATCATTTGGAAGGGTGGATTTGGCTCTGGTTTCCAAGGAGCACATAGAACATTTCCAAGGGATGCCATAATGTCATCAACCTGTCCAGAGTTAGAGAAAAGGGTATCAGATACTGGCTGCGGGCCTTAGCTCCAAATGGTAGGTATTTTCTGGGCATAGTATCAATAAAGGGAGGTACATAGTTAACTCTTATGGAATAAGTCAGATTCCTCTACAAAATTACTTGCTTCCAAGTAATAAGCAAAGCATCCTTTCTCACTCTTTACCACCACCTTCTCTGATTCCTGCTGCTTATTTGACCATCCAACCAATGAGAATATTCATTGCTGGCTGTTCCTCTGTGAAAAAACATCCTTTTGCCAAAGTTATCCAAAATGAAGCAACTTAAGTAATTATTCAGGGTTTTTTGTTTTGTTTTGTTTTTTCGTTTTCTTTTGTTTTTTGAGACAAGGTCTCGCTCTGTCACCCAGGCTGCAGTGTAGTGGCGTGATCTCGGCTGACTGCAACCTCTGCCTCCAGATTCAAGCGATTCTTGTGCCTTAGCCTCCCATGTAGCTGGGATTACAGGAGTGCATCACCACACCCGGCTAAATTTGTATTTTTAATAGAGATGGGGTTTCGCCATCTTGGCCAGGCTGGTCTTGAACTCCTGGCCTCAAGCGATCTGCCTGCCTTGGCCTCCTAAAGTGCTGGTATTACAGGCATGTGCCACTGTGCCCAGCACTTTTTCAGTTTTAAATCAAGCCCCTAATAAGTGGGTACTGCTGGGTACTGTTGGGACTATTTGTAAGACATTTTCCTATTCTCCAAGAGCTTATAGGCCAGAGGGGAGGTAGAAATAATTAACAGTTAAGTATTTAAATACTTTTTTCTCTCAGTCACTTTTTCCTCATTCTTACTTTCTGTGCAGCATTCCATAGTGTTTTTAAAACTCCCTTTTTTCGTTTCCTATTTTCTTCTATTATTCTTAGATTCTCCCAATTCTCTTCCTTCCTTAGCTCCTGCCTCATTTCTTTCTACAGTCTTCCCTCAAGCATCACTTTTAATCTCAAAACTGCATCTCTTCAGCCTCTAATCAAGAATCTTTAATTAAGCAACTACTCTATGGAAGGTAATGTGCTTGGTCCTACCTACTGTGATAGGTAACCAGTAGGCTTCCAACTAGCCTTTTTTTTTTTTGAACGGAGTCTTGCTCTTGCCCAGGCTGGAGTGCAATGGTGCGATCTCAGCTCACTGCAACCTCCACCTACCAGGATCAAGCAATTCTCCTGCCTTAGCCTCCCAAGTAGCTGGGACTACAGGCATGAGCCACCACGTCTGGCTAATTTGTTTTGTATTTTTAGTACAGATGGGGATTCACCAATAATCCACCCGCCTCGGCCTCCCAAAGTGCCAGGGTTACAGGCTTGAGCCACTGCACCCAGCCTCCCAACTAGCCTTTGTAAGCAGATGTTCCCAAATCTAAACCTTCCCTTTTTCCTTAGGCTCTATTCTTCCTGTCTAGTTATCTACTAGTTATTTTCACTATAATTTCCCAATGTTTAAAACTTCCCTCTTGAGCCTATTCCTTTTCCTTTGTTCTCTATTTATATTAAAGTTACCATCATTCTACTAGTCACCCACTCAAAATCACGGTGTCACTTTTTATTCTTCCTTCTCTCTTGCCTCCCACTTAGATCATTTGCCAGCTCTTGCTCTTCTTTTCTTTGTGGTTTCTTTTACCAGTCTCTGTCTCTTCTCTGTTTCCCTTTGTGTTCGGGTTCTCTTTATTTGCTTAGACTATAGTATTAGTCTTCTAATGGTTTCCTTGCTTTTATTTTCTTAGAAGCCATTTTATGTATTACTGCCAGATTTATCTTTCTGAAATAGAGCTCGAGTCATGGCTACCATTTATACCAAGGGCTCAACTTGGATGTCACATTCTTTGAAGCCTTTCCCAAAGTGCCCAGGCCAAGTTAGAGTCTCATCTTTTATCTTTCTATAGCATTTCATATATAATCAACTTTGATGTTAATCACATTGTCCTGGAATTATGTGAGCATTTGCCCTCAAGATTATATATTTCTTAAAATAATATATTTTGTATGATTCTTTTTGTATTAAGTTCAAAAACAGGAAAAAGTAACCTGTGGTGTCAGACATCAGGATAGTGATTACCTTTGGGGGATGGAATTTGTAGTGATTAGATATGAGCACAGGAGGCTTCTGGAGTTCTGGTTATATTGTTTTCTTGATCTAGATTCTGTTTACATGGATGTAAAAGTACACTTTTGACTTGTTTATGTTATAATTATAATGTATATTATCATTCAATAAAAAGTTTAAATAAAAGCTAAATGAAAAATAGCATTAAAATACAGAGTAGAGAAAATGTCTGACTTTATATCCCTGATGCCTGGCACCCACTAAACTCTTTGCAGATGAGTGAGTGAGTGAGTGAATAGAGAAGTGAATGAAAGTTTATCCTCAAAAAAATTAATTTTTCTTTACATTGGTAATTAAATTATAGTCTCAACAGAGCCTGAGTTCTCCACCACTTACGGCCTGTGTAACCTTAGGCTTAGGCAAGTTACCCAGCCCTTTGGAAACATAATTTTTTCATCTCTGAATATCATAGTTGCCTCAGTGGATGAATAAGGGTTTAATAATATCATACATGTAGAGCAGGGCATGGTGTGTTGTTAGCATTCAGTAAATGTTAATATCCTTTTCTTTCCAACGCCTTCCTCCTTCTCCCTTTCATCTCTTTACCCATCCTCTATCCTCTGCCTTAAATATCCTTTCCTTTTAGTTTCCACATATCCAAATATTATCCATTCTTTGGATCAATCTCAGATATCATGCTCTTCACAGAGCCTTCTCTGACTCACATCCAAACCAGTGTTTCTAATGCTGGAAATATTTCCCTCTCTCAAATTCTTGTACATTTTATCTGTGTCCCTTATGATACATATTAGTCACTCACTCCAACCTTTAGGAGTTGCTGAAGGCTGCCGTCTGACTTCAGGCCCAAAGAAGAATAAGCACTGTAATTGGGCTAATATGCTGGAGGCAGGAGCTCTGTCATTTGGAACAAACTTGGGAATGAAAAGTCAGGTTGAGAAAACTGCTTTGGGCTTTTCATATTCATTTTTTTGTTTGTTTTTTTTTTTGTTTTTTGAGACGGAGTCTTGCTCTTGTCACCCAGGCTGGAGTGCAGTGGTGTGATCTTGGCTTACTGCAACCTCCTCCTCCCTGGTTCAAGTGATTCTCCTGCCTCAGCCTCCCAAGTAGCTGGGATTACAGGTGCCCACCACCATAACTGGCTAACTTTTATATTTTTAGTAGAGACAGGGTTTTACCATGTTGGCCAGGCTGGTCTTGAACTCCTGACCTCAGGTGATCTGCCCGCTCTGGCCTCCCAAAGTGCTGGGATTGCAGGCGTGAGCCACTGCACCTAGCCCTGATATTCATTTTTGTACCTCCCCTTACACTTGGAGAAATTCAGATGTCTATTAAAAAATATGGGCCCAGGGGCTAAAGTTTAAGTTGCAGACTGTTTGACCTGCCTTTTGAAATGGTTAAAAACCTCTTCTGCTAAAGACGTCTTTTGGCCCAGCTTGGCTTATCAAGGTAAAAGGCCATGCAGATGTTTGAGTCTCAAGTCTTAGGAATTAAGAGTAGACATTCACCTGGAGTATCTTCTCTGCCTAATATCCCTAGTGCATGTAGGTAGAAAAACAGTTCAGGGAAGACCCCATTCCTGGCCACTTATTTTCTTATTATTTTGGCTTTCTACGTGTATTTTCCTTGCATACTTACAGGCTTTAAATCCTTTGCTAGATTGCTCTTGAGGTCAAGAACTGATCACCAATTCTTAGCATCAATTCCTCCTGATACTTAGTAAAAACTCAGCAAAGATTTATGGAATGAACACTTAAAAATATTAGGTGGCCGGGCGCGGTGGCTCACGCCTGTAATCCCAGCACTTTGGGAGGCTGAGGCGAGTGGATCACCTGAGGTCAGGAGTTCCAGACCAGCCTGGCCAACATGGCGAAACCCCCATCTCTACTAAAAGTACAAAAATTATCCGGGCTTGGTGGCGGGCACCTGTAATCCCAGCTACTCAGGAGGCTGAGAGAGGAGAATCACTTGAACCCGGGAGGTGGAGGTTGCAGTGAGCCGAGATCGCGCCACTGCATTCCAGCTGGGTGACAAGAGTGAGACTCCGTCTCAAAACAAATAAAAAATTAAAAAAATTAAGTGGTATTACACGGCCCTAAGTAACTGATTGCAAAAGAAATAATTAAGTCTTTTAACTGAAAATAGTTGCCACAGGACTTTAAGGAACAAGCCCTTTGGATTAGGGTGATCAGAGAAGTCTTCTCAGAGGAATTCCCAGAGAATACTAAGTTAGCAGTTAAGTATCAGGAAATGGCCAAGAAATAAAATAACATGAGCTTCTAAAGATGGAAATCAAGGGATAACTTGCTTCCTGTGTTTGCAAGCATATGCCATGGGGGAGATCCATGGCCTCTTGCAAGTGGCATGTTGCATTCTTCCTGTGGACAATGCAGCTGCTATTTACCACTATGCCCTGAAGTACAGTCATATTGTAAGACTTCAGTAAACTTCCTGAAGCCAAAGGGAAAGAGGTAAGTTGTAGCCCATTCTTTAAGCTGCTTCTTCTCTTTGCTGGTTGTCACCTTCAAGCATGCTAAGGAAATGTGTTTATTCAGTCCTCACCTGAGAACACTCAGACTTAAACAGCCAAAGAAGACAAGTTAGGAAGATCATTTTAGATGAAAACCAACCTCCTGGAGCATTTGTTAACGACAGATGAGATAAAACTGTTGACTGATTTCTCTCTAAAATATTCTTCCTTCTTGGCCTTTTTTTTTTTTTTTAAAGGGGTCTTGGTCTGTCACTCAAGCTGGAGTGCAGTGGCACAATCACGGCTCACTGTAACCTCGAACTCCTGGGCTCAGGCAGACCTCCTGCTTCAGCCTCCAAGTAGCTGGGATTAGAATAGCTAGGACTACAAGGATGTGCCACCAGACCTGGCTAATTTTTAAATTTTTCTTGTAGAGATGGGGGTCCCCCTATGTTGCCCAGGCTGGTCTTGAACTCCTGGCCTCAGTCCTTCTACTTCAGCCTCCATAAGTGGTGGGATTACAGGCCTGAGTCACTGCGCCTGGCCCCATCTTTGATTTCTTCATAGCATTTCTCTTTCTCTGCTTGCCCCTTAAAACTTGATAATTCCCAGGCTTTGTTTTCTACCTCATTTTCTTTTCTAGTTAATCTCATCCATGTCCTAACCTGTAACTGATAAATCCCAAATTACTATCTCTACCTCAGTCCTCTTTCATGAGTTCCAGACTTTTTTATCCAGCTTCCTGTGGATATTGTCACCTGAATGTTCATAGCCACTTCATACAATGTGTTCAAACCGTACTTACCATCTTTTTTTTCTCCTCCACTTCCTCTTCTATATATCCTTTCTTACTACCCCGTCAAACATAAAATCTAACACTCCTCTCCCTCAGAATATATAACATGGGTATAACAATGCCTCTTGCTTTAACATTTCCCCCGTTAGGTTATGAACTTCTTAAGGGCAAGGATTGTATCTTTTCATTACGCCTGTTAACAAGATGTTGTTACTTAATAGGTGTTCATTTATTTTTTGTTTTTTATTTATTTTATTTTTTCGAGAAAGAGTCTCGCTCTGTCACCCAGGTTGAAGTGCAGTGGTGTGATCATGGCTCACTGCTGCCTTGACGCCCTGGGCTTAGGATATCTTAGGTTATCTTCCCACCTCAGCTTCCCAAGTAGCTGGTGGAAGGGGCAAAAGAACTCCTGTGGGCCTCTTTTATAAAGGCACTAATCCCATTCATTAGGGCTCTGCCTTCATGATCTGTTCACCTCCCCAAAGGCTCACCTCCTAATGTCATCACCTTGAGGGTTAGGATTTTAACATATGAATTTTGGAGTGACACAGACGTTCAGGCAATTCAACCCATTACAGGTACCAAAGTAGTTTTTCATGTTTATTTACAAGTCTTATCTTCTGACAAAGCACTTGAAAAGGTTCCTACCTTCTCACCATCCTGATGTTTACTCTCTGATGGCACTCTACATAGGGCCATCTGGAAACAGAAAGGATGAGATGGCACATTAAGTGAGTGCAAGGGGTTTGCTTTGACTAAAGTTAGGGTGTTGGGAAGCCAAATTCCTCTAGACATGGGCAGGTCAAGAAAGAACTTTGATAACATGTAAAGAACTAGGACTTTTTTTTTTTTCACAGTCACTGACGGATTTTAAGAAAATGAGTGACAAAAACTTATGTACATCTTAGAAATATCCCCCTAGCAAATTGTGCATCACGGATCAAGGGTAAAGAGGAGTGAGTGGGAGGTGGTTCTGGAGGAATGGAGTCTAGGGAGAATGAATATTTTGCAGTAGTTGAAGTGAGAAATAAGCCTGGACTAAAGATTGCAGAGGAGACACTGATAGATAAGAAGGTAAAATAGATTATGGCAGAGGCACAAAGGGCTTTGCAGGGGCTTCTCTCACTGGGTAAAGAATTAGAATATATGGATTCCAATGATCCAGTATCTGAGCAGAGAAGTCATCTCTGCATGGGTTGATATGGGTGAGCTGGCAGCCTAGTCCTCTAAACACGTAGTTCTC
Source organism: Homo sapiens (assembly GCF_000001405.40). NCBI lineage: Eukaryota > Metazoa > Chordata > Mammalia > Primates > Hominidae > Homo > Homo sapiens. The sequence continues at coordinate 35,337,496 of NC_000009.12, forward strand.
TCTTCAGACTTACCTAGTTGAGTGCTTCCCTTTCTTTCCACCATGCTTCCCTCTTACTGTCAGAGATCCCCAGTGAAGGATACGCCTTCATTAAGTCTTCTTTTCCCCTTTGTACATTAGCTACCTTCCTGTAATTCAGTACCTCATATCAGATACTTTTGAATATTTGGAGAATCCTGTAGGGAAAAACCCACCTCTTTGGGATCCCTTCATTGAATGTGAAGACACTTGAAACTCATCTGCTGGTTAGGGACATATTTCCACAAGACTATAGAAACAGGGGCCTAAGCCAGGAGAATTCTCCAGATTTGGGTTTGCCCTATATCTTATTCTTAGATGTATCTTAGAACAAGCCATAAAGAACTGAGGGGATATTTGATCAATATTAACCCAGTTAGTCTCCACTTAGTACAAGAGGTTCATTTCTCCCTGGGATGTCAAATTTTGGATTCCTTTTAGAGGATCCTCGGTATATGGCCTCTTTGTTTCCTTTGGGTATAGAGATTGAGGCAGGGCCAATGCACTCTGTGGCTTGGGCTGGGATATATATATAAACAAATACTACTTTAGGACCGGCATTAGTCCTAAATCTGGGAGCTGTGACTTTTGATCGGGTTTATGTGAGAGGGCAGTAGACATATAGGTTTCTTATGATCATGAATTGTTAATTATTTGGTCCTGAAATAGATAGGGGGCCACAGCCTTTGGAGGTACAGGCTGAAAACCTAACTGGTTAGCTGGCCAGTTCCAAGAAGTTTATCAGCTCCTTATGTTCAAGTTTCTGCTAATCAGGGATGGTCCTTGACCTGATTGTAGGACTAAGACTTGTCAGCAATTTATGACTCTTAGGGCCTGCCTTGCAGCTTGTCGGGTCTGTTTAGGTAACAAAGCAGCTATGTCTTAGTGCATCAGTAAAGTCAGCACATCTCTGCCAGGCTTGTCACTCCCCTAGGATGGCATGCTCCTCAGGGAAGGAGCAGGATTACCTCCTGCTGCCCGTCATTCTCTGCTGCATATGCTTTCTCCATGGTGTAGGGAGGGCATCATTCTACAGCGGGAAAAATGACTTTTCTTAGCCACCAGAAAAATCATCTTCCTCATGAAATAAATCCCAGCTGTGTGACTATATGTCAGCTTTTTCATGTTGCTTCTGGCTTTCCTCAGCAGTAGAGAAGGAAAACAGTCACAAGCTGACTCTTGCATGATATAGATATTGGCCGCACCCATCCTTTGTACTCTGCGTCTGTGTTGATATTGGACAATAAGGTAAGCACCTGCTGGTCCTGACCCAGCCTGTCTCTGGCATTGACACCTGAAAAGGCAGGCCAGGTTTGGAGCAGGCATATTCTTTGCTTCTAGACCAGTTGTATCTGACGTCAGGGAGACTTAGACTGGTTTGTATGAGTAGGGAGAATTGTGATTGGTGAGGCCCTCCTCCAGTATTTCTGTGACACCACTCAGTTGCTTTAGCTGAAGATGAATTTTGTATGCCAGGTGGTTTTCTGACTAACCCACCCATTCGGCTCCCCTTTAGAACTCCTGCAGGTCTGAACCTTCCCACAACTCTGCGTGAGTGTCAGTGTATCATGTTGAGTTTCCATCTTGACTCATCTGTCTCTAGGCGAAGATCCCTGCAAGGATTTAAATTGGGAACCAGACCTTGAGAATGTCTGTTCAGAGCATTTCACAGCTTCTGGATAAATGCCTTTTCCTTCTTAACCCAATCTGTTTTTCCAGTTCTGCCCAGCTAGCTCCTGAGCAGCCTACTTTGAGGAAGCTTCCCAACTGAGGTGGGTGCTGTGCTATTTCTTACCTCTAAAAAGCACCCCATCCTTTCGGCCTACTCAGGCTTCCCCAGGGCCAGATCCACTGTGATGAGGGGGCTGCATTGTTGCCCATGTGGCTCACAAAACAAATTGCCTGCTTGTCCCAAAGAGCTAGTCCACTGAGGAGTCCTGATGTCCTTTGGCCATGTGGTGTCTGGCACTCTGTGGGCCCTGTAGAACAGTGGCAGAAGGGGCCATGCTCTTTTACAAGAGCTTCCACTGACTGTTTGCCACTTCCCCACTTACTCTGTTTCTTGCTTTTGCTGGAACATGGGAAGGTGGATAGATACAAAGGTAATTTGTGGTCAAAGCTGCATGAGCTCTCCTGTGAAGTTTGAAGATTGTAACTGGAGATGGCAGATTTGTTGTGCCTCATGTGCTAACCACGTCTTCTACTGCCTGAGCCTTTGTTTTTCTGGAAAGCCCAAGCTGCTTAGAAAAATGGGCTGGATGTGTTTGGGTGACAAGACAGGGTGGGTTCCATTAGCCTCAGAAATGCCATCTGGAGGCCTTAGCCAGGCCTTAGGGCCACTTTGTCAATTAGGCAGGAAGAAGTAGGTTCTTTTAGCAGGGTCCTACCTCTGGGGAATCTTTCCCACTCTTGAAAGTTTGAGCTTCTCCTTAGCCTAGGAAGCCTGACCAAACCTGATAGTGACAGCCACTGTTCTGGGCTCTTTATGAGTGGCTGCAGATTTGGGGGAGGGAATTCTAATTTAATCAATCTTCCCTATATTTCTTGTTTTAAACCTTTTACCTCCTTCTCCTGGCTGAAGGATGGGAAACTCCACAGTAAATTGGCTGTGACTTCCACAGAAACTTGACAGTTTTCAAGTTATTTTTTTCCTCTGTGTTTAGATGCGGTTATAGTTGTGCTGTCAGGCCTTATCTCTTCTGTCATCTAGCCAGCTCCCAACTAGGTTAGGAGGTATGTGCTCTGCTGTTAGTGTTGGCTGTGTAATGAGGTGGATGGCTAAGAAATGGGTTGTTTAGCATCTCTTGGAATCTAAATTTTCTTCCTTGGTTGAGGGGGAAGCAATGTTATTGGAAGAAGGCAGTAGGGAGGCACATGTTGGCTCTGAAATCAACCCTTTCTTCTCAGGATCTTGGATAAGCCAAACAAATCATTCTTAATTTAAATGCTTGTTTTATCTACCATAAAGGGCTGCCTGTTCTGCAATGGCAGATCCTAGGATGGTCCCCATAGACTGACTACCTGGTTTGTGGGCTAAAGAGGCCATACTCTGTTGTGGATTGCCATGAGGAATGTTGCAGGGCAGCAGAAGTCACAAGGTTTGAGAGCCTGGTTTGGGCATGCTGGGTAAATCAAACTTGCCCACGTACTGTTGGCCTAAGGAGGAAGAGGGCCTTTTCTCTTAAGATCAAGCTCAGGGGAGTCAGAAGAGGAATGACTTCACTGGATTGTTACTGGCTGATCGAGCTCTATATTGAGAAGGATTCTGAGGTTATCTAGGTTCATTATGCGATGTTTTTCATGTCCTATGGTTGCAGAGTGGAAAGGGGATATCACATTTCATGTATTTGGCATTTTATGCTACAGAGCTTCAAGGGGTCCTGGCTTGTGCTCGGACATTATGTTGCAGTGAACAACTTGAGTGTTCTTTGAAGATAAGGACATTCAATTTCCCAGTGAGTCCTAACTAGAATTGTTGAATTATTAGGAATTAGGGTCACATGAGAGCCACCTGGCTAGTGAGTCTCCAGGGAGATAGGGCATCCATTGGCAAAGAAGGGTTATGAAATTTGGGGTCATAAAAGGGGCCCTGAACCTTAGGCAGCTTTTTGGTCATGGTGATATCACTTTAGGTTACTTCGTTCCTAATTCTGGATTCTGAAACCATCTTTGGTCTAGACTTCTGCAATACAGAGTTCATCTCAGCTCACCTAACTTCCCCTCCTTCTCTCGGGTTGTTGCTTTGGCATAGCCTGAGGGAGCTCTTATTTTCCAGTTGATTCTCTTGTGGTGGTTGTTCAGTAAGAACTGGAATAGATGTCTACTCCAAGAACATGGCACTGTTTGATTTTAACTGCACTTGATCACTGTACCTATCCTTCAGCTTTGCCAAATGCTGACAACAGATTATATATACACGAAACCAACCAACCAACCAACTTAGAGCTTGTCTCAGTAGAAGGGAAGACTCCCTTTGTATTGTGCTCCAGCAGTTCCACGGCTGGCATGCTGTGTTCCGGCTTCCCTCTGAGACTAGGAGCTCCTGAAAGTATAGGTCTCCATCTGTGTCTGTTTATATCCTATAGCCCAGATGTGAGAGAGGTGGATAGGGGAAAAGAAAGCAGGGAGGAGAAGAACGAGGGAAGGAAATGGAGGAGGGGAGAGAGTAAGATCTATATTTAGCAAAAGGGAGAGACACTTACCAAGGGTGTGTGAGTGAGCTTGCTGGCAAGGGTTGTGTGTGCGTGAGTGTGCTGGGAAGGGGGTGTGTGCGCCAGGAACGTGTGAGGAGGGCTGGTGCCCTATGGGAGGTTGCAGGCAGGAAGCAGCTGGAGAGGAGGAGGAGCAGCAGCAGGAGCAGGAGCTGCCCTGCTTTCTGCCTCAGTCTCAAAGCCCAGAATCGATTGAGTTAGAATTCCACATCCAGTTGAAGTTTGGCTGCTGTTGCCTTCAGCAGGCTGATCTCAGAATCCCCCTTGCCAGAGAGGTGTGGACCAGGTTAGATTTCTACGTTTGCAGCCAGTGAGACTCCTGCCAAGCCCTTCACTGAGGGGTTTTTTTGCAGGGCATTGTTTCTGTCATCAACTTTGTGCCGTGGAGCCAGCCAGCTGGGTGCAACTGAGAATATTAGCTCCTTGGGTCTGTTTGTCGGTTGGGCAAGCAGTGGTGCTTTGGCTCAGAAAGTTCGTCCTGTGGCTTCTCTGTCAAACCAAGGAGTGCTCCTGGATGGATTTCCTCTTAAAGACAGCATTTGCCTTCTAAAACTTGAGAATTCATGGTTTTAATTTTTTTTTTTAATTTCCTTAACCCTTATTTTGGTTGCAGCAGCAAGGTAAGTGGTACCGAGTGTGTATGACTGACTGAACAACAAGCAGGGCAAAAGGAAAGCATTTGTGGGTGGAATATGGAGCAGCTACATTAATTACGTAATTGCTTGAGTCAACTTGCTGGTGAGGGGGGTCATTATAATGAGTGAAAAGTAGCATATGCCGCACTGGGGTAGAATCTTCACATGCATGTATTTGTGTGCTGATAATCTGACCATCCATTCCTCTGTGGTACTTTCCTGTATGTATATAGATAACCCAGCCACCCTCTGGATGTGTGCATATTCATATACAAATAATCTGTTTCTCCTTTTTCATGTGTCCATATGTGTTTATGAATAAATGACCTGTCCATTCCTCTCCTGCATGTGCATATGTATAGACAACTCATTCATCCAGCTTGCATATATGAATATGCAAAATTCGTCTCTCCCTACTTGCACATACATATATAATCCATCCCTTCATCTCCTATGTGTATGCATGTACTCAAGTAACCTTTCTGTTCTTGAATATATTCTGTATCATTTCCACCCTTCCTGTATGTGTATATGTGAGAGAGAGAGAAAGAGAGAGAGAGACAGAGAGAAAGAGAAAAAACCACCATCCTAATGTATTAATTCATCCCTTTCATGTGTGTATATGCCATATAAACAGAAAAGTCATCTTGAGTTTTCTCAGTCTTGAATATATGCACACATGCGCAATAGACAGTCTGTCCACTTGTGTCTTGCATGTATGAAGAAAGAGCACTAACTTTGCAGATTGAAGACTCACTTTTAAATCCTAGCTATACTCAGTGACCTTGGTCAAGTCATTTAGCCTCTCTGAGCTTCATTTTTCTCATCTATGAAATCAGTATAATCAGAACAGTAACAACAAACCTCCTGCCTCACAGGGTTGTTGTGATGATAAAATAGGAATCATATAAACTGAAAATTCTAAACAAATATAATCTCTTACTACTGTGTGTCCCTCTAGTATGAGTTGGATAGGATAGCGTACTCTTGGTCCAGTTTTATTGAAATTATGTTCTTGTCTGTGAGAGGTTTCTAAGTTTTCCATGTGAAGGGGAAGCATCTATTGAGGTAACCAGGTTTATCCTGTGGTTTTCTGCAGAGTATTGGAAAGAAGCGGGGTACCGTGAAAGGGTCAGGTGGAGAGGGAGAAAAGCTCTCATCTTCTGTAGGCTGGGGCCTTGATACTTTGTTTTTTGTACCTTGAGGAGGATTGAACCTCACACAAAATGGAAATGGGCTGCTTCCAGCCAGGATCAAAGTGAGCAGGTGAAAAGATGAGTGAAAGAACGTAACATTCGACTGCCTCTGGGATGACAGTGTGCCCTTTGCAGTGAGCTTCTACTGCCAGGTTTGGAAGGCTCTCCAGAGTATTTCCCACCCCAGAATTCTAGACCCATGCTGTCCAATGTGGTAGCTACTGGCCACATGTGACTGCTGAGTACTTAAAATGTGGCTAGTCTAATTTGAGATGCATTCTAAACATAAGATACATACTAGATTTCAAGAACTTAGTATAGGAAACAAATGCAAGTATATGATTAATAATTTTTTATATTGATTATATGTTGAAATAATACTTTGGCTATTGGGTTAGATAAAATATATTAAAATTAATTCTACCTGTTTCTTTTTTATGTGGCGATTAGAAATTTTAAAATGACACATGTGGTTCACATTATATTTCTGTTAGTCAGTGCTGCTCTAAACTCACCCATCACTAGCACAAGGATCAGGGCAGCTTTTCCAACTCGGGGTAGGGGATGGGAGCCCTGTCACAGCATCCCTGGGGTAACAGGAACCACAGCAGGATCTCTCCCTGCCAGTCTCATACACTGGAGAGATACCAGCTAATTGATGGTCTGGCAGAGACCGGTGCTGCCATGCCCCCACACTCTTTTTTTGTTTTTCTTTTTTCTTTTTTTGTCCTGAGTGAGTTCCCAGATAATTTTAAGTACAACTGGGGAAAGATTTCCACCTTAGTTTTACAATGAAAGAGGACTGTAAGCCATCAATCTAGAAGGAAACCTAGAACTTGAATGCAGCATGTTGTCATGGAAACAGAAATGGATGAGAAAATTAGGAGACCTGGATTCTAATTCGGCTCTGCCATCAATTCATTTATGCTTTCCATGACAATGAATTCTCACTGTGTGTCAGGCATAGTAATGCCCTGTTCTAGGCACTGGAAATTCAGAAACAAATAAGACACAGCTTCCAATGTAATGGAGTTCACACCCGCTGCGGATCTTTGAATAGGAGCCTCCCATCTAGTAGTCTGCCACAGCAAAACAGATTAATGACAACAAGGGTCTCATTCTAGGTCAAGGGTAGTAGGGCTTTTGAGAAGCTAGAGCACCTGCCCTGCCTAAAGACTTTCAAATTCAAAGTATAGAAAAGCACTATGATGGTAAGACTACTCCATAACCTAGATCACAATGTAGTGTGAGATTCCAGGCCTAGACACCCTCTAAAGGGTTTGTCCAACTATGTTCTGGTTTCTTTTATTCAATGACAGGGTTGGTTTGTTTTGGGTTTTTGTTTGTTTGTTTGTTTGTTTTTAGCACAGGCACTGTTTTAGGTGCTGAAGATACAGTTATGAACAAAACAAAGTCCCTGCTCATGTTTTGGGATACAGAGGTCAGGGAGGGAGACAGATAATGAACAAGCTATCAGATGGGAATGAGTTCTATGAAGGAAATTCTAGAGGAAGAGGATAGAGATGGGTTTTTTTGTGGTGGGGTGTTCAGTGAGTAGATTCTCCTGCACTCGTATCTTTTTCAGTGTACTCACAAGAGCAGGAGGTAGTAAGGAAAAAGAGGGTATGTGAGTGTTAAACAAAAAATTATTTTGACACTTGTTAAAGATGATAAGACAGACTTTATGTGGGGGGACGACAATACTGGGGTTTTGTAGTGAGGGTGAACAATTGAGCTCAACTCCAAATATAAGGAAAAGTGGGAATTTAGCCAAGGAGCAGGGTGGGGTATCAGTGGACGGAAATTACTAAGATGAAGTATCAAAGGGGATTTTGGCTAAACTTACTTGACAGGATTTTTGCTGAAGGCAGGCCAAGGTGGTAAGATATCAGGGGTAGGGGATAAGAAATTTGGTCAGATACCAAGCATAGACAGATACTAAGGGTGAAAGATGAGGAATTTGATCAGAAATCAAGGGTGGGAATTTTCACTAAAATGACCTGGCTGGATTCTTGTTAAAACTGGACTAAATGAGCCAATGTCAAGGGCCTACTCAGAAAGAGGACTCAGAGGAGCCTGACTTATGTTTCGTCAAAGAAGAGTCTTTGTCATGGGTTAGATTCTGGGTGTGATTGTATTTGTTGTATGCTTTGTTATACTCCTTGGTATAAAAAACCTTGCTACTGCTGAAAGGGAGCCCTGGGCAGGGCACAGAATAGCCTGCTCTCATGCCTGGCATTCAGTCTCCATTATGAGGTATTGATATGCCCTCCCTCTGAAGGCTAGGTCCGCCCTCATGCCACTGTCTTTTAACTGTATGTTACCTGAGATTGTCTCCCTTCTTGGATATAGAGGCTTGAAGTTTTCTTTCCCTTGTATATGTCTAGCTTCTGGCCTATAAATGGGGCTGCTCTTAATGCTGATGAGGATGGATGGCAAGTCCTAGGAACTGCAATACTGGGACCTTGCTAAGCCTTTGATCTAGGGCATTTCTCATTCCCTTTGGCTAATCTCACTTGCCATATCTTGTGCCCTGATCATTTTGATGATTAACATCCTGAGAATCCCCATACCTGCTGTGGCCCTAGAAATCCATTCCTCTTAGCCCATATTAGCCATACAACATAATTGATATATGGCCCAGAAATGCTCTGTCCTCTGTTGGGGGCTCAGAGCTCTTGGATTTCTGCTTGCTGGGATTGTTTCACACAAACTGGGAAGCTGCTTGATATATGTACATCGAGTCCTGGCCTTTTCCCAGAGGTCCCCTGGTTGTTTCCTCTAAGCCAGATTTGGGTTAGAAGCAGTTTTTACAAGGAATAGTTACATTCCTAATCACATTTATTTGATAAGTCAGAGAGAAGGATAAAAGAATCAGCCATTTCAAAAAACTGAGGTGTTTTCCTTTCTCTTTTTCGTTGGTAGGCTGGTGGTGATGCAATGTGGTTTAAGGGATCTACTCCCTGCAGTAATTGTTAGCTTTCCATCATTAAAGCTTTAATCTTTTTGATTAATTCATTTTGTTTTGATGTGCTCCCTTTTCAAATGCAGATAGTCCTTGAAAGGGGCTGCCTTATTTTTCCCAGCCTTAGGCAGTCCTGAGGAAAAGAGCACAGAAAGGTATGGTTTTTGTCGGAATGTGTGTGTATGAAATTTGGAGAGTTGTCCAGAGTCAATAGGCCAACAAAGTAGGGCAGACAGATAACATTGGGTATCTTAAAGGAAACTCCAAGGCTAGGTGGACTCCAGAGCCTACTTACCCCATCCCAGCTCAAACATTACTTTTCTGTGGCCTTGTATGCCTCGTTTTGCTGGGCCTCTCACCTCCTTTCCATTCCCAACCCCTGAATTAAATGCTTACTTTCTTTTTCATTTTTTTTTTTTTTAAAGACAGGGTCTTGTTCTGTCACCCAAGCTGGAGTACAGCCTCAACCTCCTGTGCTCAAGCGATCCTCCCACTTCAGCCTCCCAAGCAGCTGGGACCACAGGCACATGCCACCACATCCAGCTAATTTTTTATTTTTTGTAGAGACGTGATCTCCCTACCTTGCCCATACTGGTCTCTAACTCCTGGGCTCAAAGGATCTTCCTGCTTTGGCCTCCCAAAGTGTTGTGATTACAGGCGTGAGCCCAGCTAAATGCTTACTTTTTATTATAACTTTTATTATAATATGTATCACTTTATATTGTGATCATCTATATATATCTTTCTCTCCAAATCTTAATGTATTAGAGAGCAGGTACTGCATCTTATCTCCCTGGCACACACAGTAAGTACTCATGCAGTTCAACTGACTTGGAGATCAAATGGTCCTTCTTACAGTTTGCTCCCTGTCATTTCACTTCTGTGGACAGTAGTAGCAAAGAGAGGCTGGGAAGGAGGTGAATTGGGCCTCCTGTCCCTGAGGGTTGCCCTTTCAGCCCATTCTGGCTTCTGATATTCTACTGAGCTCAGCACAGTGACTGGTTGGTCCTCTGAGCATCACATCGAGCTCCATCCCCTGCTTCAAAGCCCAAAGACTGGATTACTAAGTGAGTTTGGTGCCCTTCCTATATCACCAGAAGAGATTCTTGAGTTCAAAGTTCATCCCAGGGCAGTGGCTACCAACTCATAAGAAGGTGTGGAGGCTTTTGTTTGTTTAATATGGAAGGAAGCATCTTTGTTTGAGGCTGGGAGAAGCTGCTATGGCAGCTCTAGTTGAAAATTTCCTATTTGTCAGTAACATGGGGAACCAGGCAGCTCTGCCTTCAGTCTTCAGGAGGCCACAGGAAAGGACTCTGAACCCAGTGGCTATGCCATTTGCCCCCTGTGTGGCTGGCCAGCCAGTGTCGTAAGCACTGTAGTTTGGAAGGGAATACCTTGTAAGGTGTCCGGGAAATGAGGCCAAGTATGTCTGGAGGGCTGGGCACGGTGGCTCACACCTGTAATCCTAGCACTTTGGGAGGCGAGATGGGCGGATCACCTGAGGTCGGGAGTTTGAGACCAGCCTGACCAACATGGAGAAACCCCATCTCTACTAAAACAAAAACAAAAACAAAACAAAACAAAACAAAAACTTATGTCTGCAGTATTGATCTGAGGGGCAGAAGCAGATAGGCCCCAGGTTAGCCTGGTCTACACTGAATCAGTAGCAGTAGCAGGGGAGTCAGCTTCATTAGTGTTCCCGACAAACTGCCTTATCTGGACCAAAGTGAGGCTGGCCTTAGAAGACCTGGCAATGAATTCTGGGCCTCACCAGCATTGGAAAAATAAAGCTTGGCTTCTATAGCCATTTATCTCTTCCTCAGCGTTCAGGCTGTCTGAGAGACGGCCGGCCTCCTGACACTTGAATGAGGTGTTGGGAACTGAATGATTTACTCCTCCTTCTCCTTACCTTAAAAAGAAAACTTCTAGGAGAAAGCAGGACTAACTTTAAGGGTGACAGTCTCCTCGTAGGATTCCAGGCACTGCTGCAGACCATTAGAAGGGAGTGGGAAAGGCAGGAGTCTGGGGCAGAAGTAGAAGTCATGGCTCACTCAAATTGTGCCAGTTAGGTGGTTGGATGCTTGCTTTAGATATGGGTTTCCCTACTTTGTTGACTCAGGGACTTGCCACATCAGTAGCAATAACAACAGGACAGTGCTTTACAGTTTAGTAAGTACAGTTCTCTCATTTTAGCTTTATATAATAACATTCCTGTAATTATCTCCCCCACTTTACAGATGAGGAAACTAATTCACATAGAGGTCAAGTGTTTAATCCAAGGTCACTGGTGGAACAAGACCCAAACTTAAGTCTCTTGATGCCAGTCCAGTAGCACTTGCTCATGGCTTCATGTAGTTGTACACAGAGCTTCCATCTTAGTTTACTAAGCTTACTAAGCAATTCTAATTTTTTTTTTTGAGACAGTCTTGCTCTATTGCCCAGGCTGGAGTGCAGTGGTGCGATCTTGGCTCACCGCAACCTCTGCCTCCTGGGTTCAAGTGATTCTCTTGCCTCAGCCTCCCGAGTAGCTGGGATTACAGGCACCTGCCATCACTCCCAGCTAATTTTTATATTTTTAATAGAGAGGGGGTTTCACCATATTGGCCAGGCTGGTCTCAAACTCCTGACCTTGTGATCTGCCTGCCTCGGCCTCCCAAAGTGCTGGGATTACAGGCGAGAGCCACCACGCCCAGCCGCAGTACTTCTTTTTTAAAGACAAATTTGAAAGGCCACTTGCCAGCTGCAGCCCTTGTAAAGCCAGGAACATTGTTCATGGCTAATACCAAGAGCAAATCAGGGATACCCAATCCCTACATGGTTGGGGAGGAAAAAAAAAAAAAAAAAAAGGAGTATCTTTGGAAATTCAGATTTTGTCCTTGTGGGAAGAGAGAAGGAAGAATTTGGCATCCTCTAGACTTTGGAGCGTGGTCTACCTAGGCAGCTGGGCACCAAGCCCAAGACCCAGAAATTCTGGTTGTGCAGGTAGTGCATCCTCGCAGGCTAGACTGAGTTGGCCAGATTAGGGGCATGGCTGTTCCTGGCCCCATGAGACCTTGAGGTGAAGCAGTAATGCCTCACAGGATGGATAGGGTTCTTAGATGAAGAATTCCTCAATGAATTAGAGTTGTTAGATAAGCTGGAAAGAAAAGGAGAGATGTGAAATGGGAATACATGCAGTTTCTGTCTCTTGGTTCTTGGCCTAGTTATTTCTAGTAAAAAGAATCAGCTTCATCTTTATCCCAAGTCCTCTGACTCGTCCTTCTGGTTCCTCCTAGTCTGGGGAAGCACAATGCTTTTAAATTCCAGGCCCACAGACTAGATGTAGGTGGTGGCCTTTCCTGAAAATGGGTTGCCATGAGAGCAGTCTGCCTGTGTTCTTTAAGGCATTTTCCCACTTTTAGGATTAACTTGAGTACTGGGAAAATAAAAGGAGGCAGAGTTTAGAAGATTTAGAAATCTCCATCAAATCTAGAAAATGGGGAAAGCATCCCTGGTCAAAGAACATGAAGAGTAGCATGTCTCCCACCAATCCATCTTACCCCTCCCAGGAGACCTAGCAGGACTGGAATATTAGTTGTCCCATGTGCCTCCTAGATCTCTGCTTTCCTCCTTGTACTTTCCACTCTACTGCTTCCGTACACTCTCCACATTCTCAGTAAAAAGGGAATGTATTCTCACTCCACATGAGGTAATCATCGTCTCTGCCTCTGTAATGCAGTCACCAATAGCTTAGGGTGTAGGGACTAGACTGGTGGCAAGTCTGTCTTTACCTTATTGGAGAAGAGTAAAGCACCCTGGAGCCCTCTGTGAGGTAACCCTCCCCCACATGTCCCATGTGATATTCTCTCTGGGCCAGGCAGAGGATTAGAGCAACCCTTTGTTATTAATACTTGAGCAGTGGACAGTGTGCTGGACAATCACTTATTGTGGTGCTCTGAAAGATCCTCTGTGGGCCAGGAAAGCCAAACCCAGATATTGACTAGCTGCAGCAAGCCCTTAGAGAGTATTAAGTGGAGCTCAGGAGCACCAAGCTAAGCCTAAACCTCCTTCATCCCCAGTTGTGAGTTCATGATACCTGTCTCTTTGGCTACCTGCCTCTCTACCTGCCTCTCTCATGCTAAATGCCACCTACGTCTGGACAGTGTGTGCGTACTGTGCCACTTTATTCTAGAATTAGGTAAAGAAATATTTTTCCTGCTAAGTTTAAAATACGTAAACCATTGTCCTTTCTCCAAGTGAACGGTTGCCATCACTCAACAAAGGGAAAATACTTTGTGCTATAAGCACAGGCAGGGGTAAACTTTTGAGTAAGTGGAGTCTTCACCAGAACAACAAACTGGAAAAGAAAGAAAGAAAGAAACATTCCATGTCTTGTCTTTCACTGTGTATGTGATTTGAGCCTTGGTGGTTAAGCATTTGTTTGTTTATTTCTGAGCCAGACTCCTAGTACTGAATTTTGTGAAAGTTCAAATAAGGACTTACTCATTGACCTTACTTCATCTACCTCCCAGCAGCTTGTCTCAATATCGTTGACTTTGGGTACTTGCCCAGAACACAAGGACTTTATTTTAATTTTACATTGATACTCTAAGGGGAAGCTAATGAGAAACAACTGACTGCCCATAGCCTTTAAGACTGGGGTTGGGAGGCAGGTCAGGGTTGATTCCTATAATCTTAGGAGATAATGTTTTTATTCCTGCTTGACAACTTGATTCAAACTAAAATCATCCTGCTACTTTCTGACCTGAGTGCACTATTTTCCTTTTTCACTAGCTACAGGATAAATCAAGCCAGGATCCAGGGGCATGTGCGAGGTTTGGAGGCCACACATGGGGCCATTCCAGGCAGCACTGTGGGCTAAGCCCAAAGCATCAGCCAGCAATAATTGCTAGAAACAAACTGAAAAGAGCAGGACAGGCTGTTGCCTTCCAAGGTAATCTCTATTAAGCATCCTGACCAGAAATAAGAGGAAGAAGCAGAGAACCCCTCAAACCCTGAGGGAGAAAATGAAGCGATTGTTGCAAGAGTCAGAGGAAGAAATCATGGTTACCTTGGGACCCTCCTCCAGGCTTTCCCCAGATAAGGCTAAGGCAGAGACCATGTGTGGCACCAAGAGCAAATCCTCTGGCCCTGCTGGATCCTTACCAGAGGACAACTCCCTGCCCCCTTGCTGTGGGTCAGCAGCCTTAGCCATTGGTGGAGATAGAGATGGGGACCTGGCCCAGCTTTGCAGCTTTGGGCAGCAGAACAACAGCCAGCTTCCTCTGGGCTCCACTGCCTATGTTTCAGGGTCTGGTTCTCAGGATCCCTCATCTGTCAGCATTACCACAAGCTGTCAGGAGCCCTCAGAGAGGAACCAAACCAAGACCCTTTTGTCCAGAGGCCATGGCCAAGGCTGTAGCCGTGAACAGCGGGAACCTTTGGGGGATGTAGTAGAATACATCATCAGAGAGCTGCAAGGCATCAGCCGTCTTCAGACTGAGATTGCTGAGCTGCAGCAGCACTTGAGCCAAGTCCAGGGTTCCGTGGATGAAGTCTCTAGCTGTGTAGACTCAGTACTGAGTGAAATAGAAGGCTTACAGGTGAGCACCTGTTCCCTGGCCAAGGTGTGTGAGGGTGAAAAGGCCCAGGAACCCCACGTGGACAGACCCAGTGAGGAAGCCATTCTGTATTTGTACGGACTTCCTGAACAAGATGGAGAAAATACTATGGAACTGGTGGAAAGCTTTCTAGCCAAGCACCTTTGTGTTAATGGCATGCAGTGCAACAGGTACATTAAAAAGGCTTACAGGGCAGGCACATCCCCTTCCCCTAGGCCCACTGTTGTGAAGCTTGCCCATCTAGAGCATAGAGACTTCATCTTGCAGAAATCCATCCTCTTGCAGAATGTGGGAGTCCGAATTGCCACCAGAGAAGAACCAAGCTGCCCACAGGGTAATAAGAATCCCCAGAAGGAGTCTATATCATTTTTTCAACAACAACATCAGGATTATAGTCAGACTTCTTTAAACCAGGATGAACCAGTTCTTCAGATGGAAACAGGGGACAGGGGACCCATAACAGGAACATATCAGATGAAGGCTCAGGATCAACAGAGAGAGCACCAGGCCCCTGAGCAGCAAGGCCCTTGCTTTCTACTCAAGAACAATTTATCAAAGGAAAGTGATGTGCCCAAGCTAGGGGATGAAATAAAAGGAGCATCAAGAACATCTCAAGTTATCAGTGGCAGCTGTGATGAACTGTCAGAGAAAAAGGCTTCTCTGTCTACCCCCCATCAGTTTGAGGAACCTGCCCTAGTATTAATCTCAAAAGAGGAGGCTTCTGGGAAGTCCCAGTTTTTCAAACAGTACAGCCAAAAACATGAAGCATGTAAAGTAGGAAAACCAGAAAATGACTGCCACGATAAAAGTGAGGCCAGCAGCTGCCTGTCATTGTCTGGGTTACTGAAGACAGAGAGAATAAACGCAGAGGACAAGCTCCTGGGCTGCGAAGCTGGGCTCGATATTCTGAGCTCAAAGGAACTAGAGGACCTTTTGGCAGACAAGTCCAGAAGGCTTGCAGCTCTGAGCTGTGACAGCATGATGGAGGAAATTATCATAGGGCCTGAGACTTTCAGTGACATGGTTCATATTGACCTGAATGAAGAGGAGGAATGTGCTGCTCACGTCCTCAAGGATGTCTTTGACAAGTCCTCTTGTGTTCTGGGTGGCTCTCAGGAGGATGAGGATGTGGAAATCAAGTTTTATACAAGTAAACTGGGCCGAGCAATTCACCACTTTCGTTCTGCTCTGCAGGGTGTGTTTCAGAAGCTGGAGAACAGTGGGTCCATCAGTCCTGAGGACCTGGAAAGCAATGAGAGTGGTTCCCAGTCAGAGAACAGTGATCGACTTCTTGGGACAGTGAGTTCAGGGGGTGCCCAGGATTGCTCACTGGAGAGCCCTGGGAGTCAGGGGAGTGAAAGCTTGCTCAGTGTGGTCTCTGGTGGAGTTGGCGTCTCCACACAGGGAGAGCAAACCCCTCAGGATCCAAGCACCTTCTCTCTTGCTTCTAATAACTCCTTGCCAAGTGTTGCTCTGGCTCCATGTCTGGGAAGTGAGACTTGTTCCAGGCCTGGATCTCCCAAGCAGGGCAGACTGAGCCTAGAGCAAGTGTGTACAGAGACCGTTTACCTCAACAAGTGCATCAACAATTTTAAGAATGTTCTAAGAGAGAAAAGACTAAGGCAGAAAAAACTTCTGCATGAGCTAGTACAGAAGGCAAACCGTCTCTCAGTAGAAGACATACACTCAGGTATTCTGAGTCACTATTTAACAGGGTCCCAGCTGGCTAAAGTATGACCTCCATCTGGCCAGCATGAGACCTGGTGTGGTGGCCAGTTTAATAAGGTGTTGGTTGACGTCCATAGCTTGAATCAGGCTAAATTACTCAAGTAGAGAGCTTAAGCTAATCCTGTGGGAATTGGAGTGAAAGATGGTTCTCAAGCAAGAGGAAGCTTGAATTGGAGTTAAAGAGGGTTCTCAAGCAAGAGGAAGCCGTCCTTATCTTCCAGTCTCTTGTTGTGGTGCTATACCTGTTCAAAAGAGGGAGGAGCATCTGGAGCAGAAGTAGTTTGCAGCTGCAGAGCTTTTAGGATATCAGATGTAAAGAAGGGGTGGGAGTGAGAGGCAGGAGTTGGGGATGACACATATTTGCTCACAGGCACTAGAAGGGCTGAGAAAGAATCCTGTGTTGCATTTAAAAATTCTTCTCTGTGGATTTGTTGCTGAGATAAGATTGCCATTTCCCCAGTAGCTGATGGGGCTTCTCTCATAGGCCCCTGTGGGAATTTCCCCTACCCCAGGTACCTGTCTCTTCCTAGTACCTGACTTGCTGACACAGAACCTTATTTCTGATTTGGGGCATCCAGGAGCTGCTTATAGTGCTGACCTAGCCCTAGAGCCCAACGTTGCCCTCCACAGGTCTTATTCCCTTTCTTCCATCTCCCCCTAAAAGCTGCTCACCTGCAAGCTGGCAAATGGAATGTTTTTTGACTACAGGAAGTAAGAGAACATTTTTCTAGGCAGTTTGGAGATATGTAGCTTTAAAATTACTCTTCCCAATCAAAATTAAATTTATCCAAAGAGCATATGCTATATTCATCCAGTTTTAAATTTAAATGGGGTTGTCCTCTTATGCATATAACCTGATTAATCTTCCTAAGGCAACATCTAAATTGTGAAGCATATTGTGTTGGCAAAGGTGTGAGGGAATATGCACTTGTACGTTGCTGGTGGGATGGGAGTATAAATTGGCATAATCTCTAAGGAAGGTAATTGGCAAAATTTATCAAAATTACAAATATATATATACCCTTTAAGTCCTCAACACCACTTACAGGAATGTATCCTGCAGACACATTTTCACATGTGGAAGTGACATATGGACAAGGCTATTTTTGAAGCATAGCTTTTAATAGCAAAGATTAAAAATAACCTAAAAATTCATCAGGAATTACTGGTTAAATAAATTATTGGCACGTCCAAACAATGGGATATAGTACTGTGTAGCTATAAAAAGAATGTGGTAGCTCTTTACTGAAATGGAAAGTTATCTAAGATATATTGACATACAAAAAAAAGCAAAGTGCAGAGCAGTATGTATAAGATGCTTTCATTTGTATAAAAAGAGGGAAAGAATACAATACACACACTTATAATGTCTGCTTGTATATGTATAGATTATCTAATGAAAGATATGTAAGAAACGGATACATTGTTGCCCATGGGGAAATGTATTAGGTGAACAAATGGAATGGGAGGGAGATTTTTCTCTGTGTGCCTTCTTTTAATTTTTAGAATTTGAATCATATGAATATAATACTAAGCCATAAAGTTACATTTAAAAAATGAAAATTACGTCATTCTCTTTTCAAATTTCCCTAGAGCTCCTTCTTAGAACTTATCAAAAAGAGTCTAAATTCCTTCACTTTGCATTCAAGGTCACTGCAATTGGTCTCTAGTTTATATTTCCAGGCTTATCTCCCATTGTCCCACCATAAGTCTTTCAAAAGGAAGCTTTGCTGTCATACAAATTTGCCTTGCACTTTCTATTCTTAATACATTCATATATACATGCTTCCTTCTAACATAAAATGCTATGTTTGCCATTTCAACCTAGCAGAATTTACCTATTCTTCAACATATATCACCTCTTCCAGGAAGCTTTCTGAGGCAGTAATTTCTCAGCTGTGAGGGATTTCTCTGTCTTCATAACTTTGCAGCCTCTTTTTCTTCTTCCCAGGCAATGAGAAATTATTTCAGCACAGCAACAATAGAAACAACAAATATCAAAGCAATACTTCTTACAAGCTCTTTAAATATTGGTGGGAGCTGATGTTAGCATGAGCACCAATGATGAGGACACTTGTGTCTAACTCTTCAGCTTGCAGAGTTTCCTTTCTGGGCTGCATCCTTCTAGGCAATGCAGAAACTTGTGGTGCCATGGTAGGCAGGTGGTAGTAGCAGCAGTCTTGATGAATAGAAGGAGGTTTTCTAAAGCACCAATAAGAAAGCAAGTCACAGTTCTGGGTCCTATCCAAGACTCAGTACTCAGTCTGGCCTGAGGGCTGCAGACAGAATCATGGACAGGGTGCTCCAGCACTCCCTTGCATAGAGCAGGACAAGCACACAGGCCAGACTCTCACCAACATAGACTTCACTGGAGCAGTCCCCTAACCTAGTAAACTGATTCAGTATCACAGAGACTACCAGCATAACGAAGCTTTTGAAAACTCTGCTTTCTTTACTGTTCTGCTTGGGATCTTTTAGGCCCTAAGCTTACTAGTTGTAGCTTATGATTAATTTGAGTTAGTTTTCATCTTTTTTTTCTTGGTATGTGCCAGGTACTGTTTTAAGTACTCTCATGTGCATTGTATAAAATTCAATTCTTTTATTCCTGTCACTCCACCAAAATAGCTTTGATCAGGGCCATTAGATGTCCACCATATTGCCAAACTAATGGTTCATTTTCAGTCTTCTTTTTATCAGTCAGCAATTTGACACAGTTGATGATCACTTTCCTCTTTTTATTATAACAGCTTTATTGAGTTATAATTCATGTGCCATAAAATTCACCTTAAAGTCCCTTAAAAAGTATTGAATCGAATGGTTTTTAGTTTATTCATAGTTATGCAGACATCATCACCATCTAATTTCAGAACATTTCCATCACCCCATAAGAAACCTCTTACCCATTGGCAGTCACTCCCCACTTCTCTTTGCCCCCAGCCTCTGGCAACCATTAATTTACTTCCTGTTTCTATGAATTTGCCTATTATGTACATTTCATATAAATGGGTTTATAAAATATGTGCCCTTTTGTGTCTGGCATGATGTTTTTAAGGATGCTGTAGCATGTATCAGTACTTCATTTCTTTTTCTGGCTGAACAATATTTATTGATGGACATTTTTTAAATCCATCAGTTGGCGGACATTTGAGTTATTATTACCACTTCTTGCTTATTATGAATAATGCTGCTATGAACATTTGTATACAAGTTTTTCTATGGAACTATATTTTCAATTCTCTTGGGTATTTACCTAGAAGTAAAATTGCTGGGTCATATGGTAATTCTGTTTACCATTTGAGGAACTGCCAGACTGTTTTCCAAAGTCATTGCAGTATTTACATTCCCACCCGTAACATATGAAGGTTCTAATTTCTCTACATCCTTGGCAACACTTGTTATTATCTTTTTTATTATAGCCATCCTAGTGGATATGAAGTGGTGTCTCATTGTGGTTTTGATTTGTGTTTCTCTAGTGACTAATGATGTTGAGCATCTTTTCATGTGCTCATCAGCCATTTTTCTATCTTCTTTGGAGTAATGTCTATTTAAGCCTTGGACCACTTTTAAATTGAGGTTTTTTTTCGTTTTGTTTTTGAGCTGTAAGAATTCTTTATATATTCTGGATATAAGTCCCTTATCAGATATATTATTTGTAAATATTTTCTCTCATTCTGTGGGTTGTCTTTTCACTTTCTTGACAGTGTCCTTTGAAGCATACATTTTTTTATTGTTTTTTTTTTTTTTTTTAAATTCTATTGGCCAGGTCTGTTGGCTCATGTCTGTAATCCCAGCACTTTGGGAGACCGAGGCGAGAGGATCACTTGAGCTCAGAAATTTGAGACCAGCCTGGCCAACATAGTGAGACCTTGTCTTTACTAAAAATCAAAAAACAATTTTTTGTGGTAAAATATACATAACATAAAATGTGTTATTTAAACCATGTTTTTTCTGAATATTATGTGGAACATTTTAACCATTTAAAAATATATAGTTCCATAACATCAAGTACATTCGTATTGTTCTGCAACCACCGTTCATCTCCAGAATGCTTCTCATCTTGCAAAACTGAAACTCTATACCTATTAAATAGTAACTCCTCATCCCATCTCACCCCAGTCCCTGGCAACCACTACTCTACTTTCTGTCTCTATGAATTTGATTGATCTAAGTACCTCATGTAAGTGGAATCAAATAACATTTGTCCTTTTATGACTGGCTTATTCCACTTAGCGTAATGTCCTCAAGGTTCATCTATGTTGTAATGTGTCAGAATTTCACTCTGAAATTTCACTCTGGAATTTTTAAGGCTGCATCGTATTCCATTGTACACATGTATCACATTTTATTTATCTGTTCACTCATCAGGACACACATTGCTTCCACCTTTTGGCTATTGTGAACAATGCTGCTATAAACAGTGGTATACAAATATTTTTTGAGTCCCTGCTTTCAGTCTTTTGGCTATGTACCCCAAAGTGGATTGATCAAATTTTATGGTAATTCTAATTTTTTGAAGAATCACCATACCATTTTCCATGGTGGCTGCACCGTTTTACGTTCCCACCATCAGGGCACAAGGGTTCCTTCCAATTTCTCTACATTTTCTTCAACACTTGTTATTTTCTGTTTTGTTTTTTTTAAGTAATAGCCATTGTAATGGGTATGAAGTAGAGCACAAAAGTTTTAAATTTTGGTGAAGTGCAATTTATCCATTTTTTTCTTGTTTTGATTGTGCTTTTGGTGTCATAGCTGAGAAATCATTGGTTAATCTGAAGTCAGAAAGATTTGCTCCTATTTTTTTTATGAGTTTTATAGTTTTTACTCCTATATTTAGGTCTATGATTTTTTTTTTTTTTTTTTTTTGAGACGGAGTTTTGCTCTGTTGCCCAGGCTGGAGTGCAGTGGCGTGATTTCGGCTCACAGCAACCTCCGCCTCCTGAGTTCGAGCAATTCTTCTGCCTCAGCCTTCTGAGTAGACTAGCTGGGATTACAGGCATCCACCACGAAGCCTGGTTAATTTTTTGTATTTTTAGTAGAGAGGAGGTTTCACCATGTTGGCCAGGCTGGTCTCGAACTCCTGACCTGAAGTGATCTTCCCACCTTGGCTTCCCAAAGTGCTGGGATTAGAGGCTTGAGCCACCACGCCCAGCCAGTTTTGAGTTAATTTTTGTGCATAGTATGAGGTAGGAGTCCAGCTTTATTCTTGTGCATATGGGTATCTAGTTGTCCCAGAATGATTTGTTGAAAAGATTATTCTTTTTTCATTGAATAGTCTTACCACTCTTGTCAAAAATCAATGACCATAAATGTAAGAGTTTATGTCTGGACTCAATTCTATTCTATTGATATTCAGTCTGTTCTTGTGCTCAATTCCTTCTTTTTGAAACACTTTCTTCATTTGGCTTCCAGAACACCTCTCTGTCTTGGTTTCCTCCTCTCCCCCAACATTACTGGCCATTCCTTCTTAGTTATCTTTGCTCTTCCTCTCCCCAACCTTGTAGCATCCTGGGATTCAATCTTGACTTCCTATGCTCACTTCCTAGATGATAATCTTTCAATCCCGAGTTTCATAAGCATTCCCAGGTTTATATCTCCAACCCAAACATCTTCCATGAACACCAGACTCCAAATCCACGTAACACCTCCTTATGGATGTAAATAGGCATCTCATTTGACATATCCAAAGCCAAACTCCTGATCCTTCTTCTGAAGCCCCTGCCAAACCTGCCTTTCCTATTGTCTTTCTTACCCATGAGTGGCATCTTTATTCTTGCAGCTATTCAGGCCCAATCCATAGAGTCATTCTTGACTCTCCCTTCTCTCTCACAACCTGTATTCAGTCCGTTAGTAAATTCCACTTCCTCCACTTTTAAAAAATATCTTGAATCTTGCCATTATCTCTACCTCCACCACTGTCATCCTTGTTTAAGCCACCATTTTCTCTCATCTAGATTACTGCAGTGGTCTCACTGCTCTCCCTGCTTCTAGAACCTTGTCCCTCTACAGTCTGTTCTCCTCACAACAATCAGAGTAATCCCCATAGAGCATGAGTCAGGTTATATCACCTCTCTGCTCAATGATTTCCTGTCTCACTCAGAATGGACACCAGCATTCTTATAAAGGCCTGTAGAGCCCTATTTGAACTGGTACTTTATTGCAAATTTGCTGTTTCTCCACACCAATTATGCTCTCACCTCAGGCTTTGCATTTGCTATATGTTCTTCCGAAAATACTTTTTCCCAGAACTCCAAATGGCTTCTTTACTCATTTCTTTCAAGTCTGCTTTGATATCACCTATCAGTGAGGCCGCCCTAACAACCATTTTTTGGATTTTTAATAACAACTCTACCTCCATCATCAGGGGGCATTATCTTTTTCCCTTATCTGAATTTTTCAGCCAAGTTCCTATCACATGTGACATAGTATATTGTTATTTCTTATGGAAAGCAGACCCTGGAACAAGAATGTCTGTTAGGAATTTTGGCTTTGCCACTTGCTGGCATCTTGCTTAACCTCTCTGATCTTCAATTTAATTATCAAAGAAGTGGAGGTAATAATGGTATTTACCCAGTGTGGAGTTGTGAGAAATAAATGAGCTTACCCAAATAAAATGCCAGATACAAAATAAGTGTTTGATTAGTATCAGCTACTGTCATCATCTTCATCATTGTTTATTATCTGCTCCTCTTACTAAAATAAAAGCTTTTCAGGATCAGGGAGTTTGTGTCATTCACTGCCACATCACCAGCACTGATTGAGAACAGTGCCTAGTGTGCACATTAGGTTCTTTTAAAATTTTTTTAGTTAAAAATTTTTTTTGAAAGACAGAGTCTCAGTCTGTCACCCAGGCTGGAGTGCAGTGGAGTGATCAGAGCTCACTGCAGCCTTGATCTCCTGGTCTCAATGGATCCTCCCACCCCAGTCTCAAGTAGCTGCACTGCACGTGCAGGCACATGCCACCACTACAGGCATATGCCACCACACCCAGCTATTTTTTTCATGTTTTGTAGAGATGGGGGTCTCACTTTGTTACCCAGGCTGGTCTTGAGCTCCTGACCTCAAGCTATCCTTCCTCCTGCCTTAGTCTCCCAAAGTGTTGGGATTATAGGCATGAGCCACCATGACCAGCCCTTAGTATAATAGGTTCTTAAGAAATGAATCCTTGCAATAACCCTGGGAGGTAGTTGTTCATATACCTATCTTTTTATAGTTAAGGAAATGTAGGCTCAAATAAGTTGAACGTCTCAAGTCTTTTGACTCTCAATAATGGAGTTAAGATTGTATTATTGGGTATACTGAGGGGAGTGCTGATGAGGAGGTATGTCACTTCCTTATAAAATGGACTGTCTGGAACAGTGAGAGAGATCATTCTTAGGGGGTCAGGGATTTTCCTGCAAAGCAGTTGTTTTGTAGACATTTATAACTTAACCTGCAAACTAAATCTAAGTGGAAAAATCCTAAGGCATTTTAGGGAGTTGGGAAGCACAGAAAGTTTGATTCTTAAGAAAAAAAGTTGTTTTTTAATGTTTGTCCAACGGGTAGGACAAACTGAATAGCCAGTATAGCAGTTCCTCAGGGTCTGGAAAATGGTACAGACTACTGGTTAAGAGACTTATACCTTCTCTGGTTGGGCAAGAGACACTTCTTAGAATAGCTGTTGTTTTCTAAGTCCTGAAAGTTATAGTTTTCTTTTACTACATAGAAATGATAGGCGATGTGCTAAGCCCTCAGGCTACAAAGGTGAAATAATATATAATCCTTTTTTCTGAAGAAGTAGTATAAAGTGAGAAATATTATAAAGGAAGATGTTTATACAGACAACTACAATATATGATACTACAAAACAGTATTAACAACATACTGTCTTAGAAGTGTGGACATAGAATGGTGGAGACCAGGGCAGCTAGTGGAGAGGCACTTAATCCTACCTTGGGAAGGAAAGCAGACAGAAATTTCACAGAGTCATTAGTATTTGAACTAAGTCTTAGGGAATATGCCTGAGTCCACCCAGTAGGCTGGGTGTGGGAGGGAGGTGTGAAAAGTCTCAGATGTGATGGAGAATGTTCAGTAAGACTTGAATACAGGACACGTGAGGAGCGGAAGGAAAGTAAGCTAGAACGGTAGGGGAAGTACAAATCTTGAAGCACTTTATGTGCTACAGTAAGCAACGGGGAGAATTGATGCAATTAAGCAAAGAAAAAAATGCGATCAGAATTTCGAAATGGGAAATGTGGAGTATGGATTGGAGAGGAGCAAGTCTAGTGGCAGAGAGATCAGCTTGGAGTCTCCTGTTATAGTCCAGTTAAGAGATGATAGTGGCAGTGTGAAATGGAAAGGCAGCAGTGGATGCCAGAGATATTTAGGAGGTAAAAAGTACAGGGCTGAGTGATTGGATAGGGACAGAGTGCAGAGAGGGAGAGATCCATTGTCTGGCTGGGGACAGGAGGAGACGTTTAGAGATGGAAGATAGAAGTTTAGTGTTTGGATATGTTGAATTTGAACTAAGCATGCGATATCTAGGTGATACACACTAAGCAGTGGTTAATGTGTTGTGATAAAGTAGGTATCTGAAGGTTAGGTATAACTCCTTTGAGAAGTGGAAGAGGGAGCTGACTAATGGAAGAAGAGACTTATCAAGTGACACAGAGGGCCCAGTTGAAGTTAAAAATCTGCATCTAGGGCGGGGCGTGGTGGCTCACGCCTGTAATCCCAGCACTTTGGGAGGCCGAGGTGGGCGGATCACAAGGTCAGGAGATCAAGACCATCCTGGCTAACACAGTGAAACCCTGTAAATACAAAAAATTAGCTGGGCATGGTGGTGGGCGCCTGTAGTCCCAGCTACTTGGGAGGCTGAGGCAGGAGAATGGTGTGAACCCAGGAGGTGGAGCTTGCAGTGAGCCGAGATCGCACCACTGCACTCTAGCCTGGGCAATAGAGCGAGACTCCGTCTCAAAAAAAAAAAAAAAAAAAATCTGCATCTATTTGCTCTGGTTCTCATCTGTACAATGGTGGGACTTGTCAAGGCATTATGTGTTAAATACCAATGAGAAGGATGAATGTAACTTAGGTGCACTAGGATGGCCTTATTAACTCTTGCTTGGGTGGGCATCAGAGAAGGCTTCCCAGAACTATGCCTTGGAGGAAGAGTTGGATTTTCCTCTATGGAAAGGAGGTGTGAGATGCTATTTCAGGCTAATGGAACAGAATGAGTAAATAAAAATTTGGGGTTTTGAGTATGTGACGTCTTTGTGAAACAAGACAATTAGATTGTAGGAATGTATATGGGGTCAAGAAAGAGGGCAGAGGAGAGGAATTTGGGGATTTGGGCCAGATCATGGAGAGCCGTGACGGCTCTGTCAATGGATTGATTTGATTTTAATCTTTAGGCATTATGGGGAAACCTGTGGAGAACAGAAGGACACAATCAACTTTGACATGGTTGTAGAATATATTTAAGATAGTGAAGGGGGAGAGGTACATTTCCAGTTTGAGTCATGGGGTCAGTTAAAGGATTGTTTGCCTAATTTTCTTACTCAAAAGGAACACATTATCCTGGGGGGGTTGAGATGTAGATATGGAAGAGATATGTCCCCATTCCAGGGAGTGTCTTTCTCATCTTTCCCACCTTCCTGGAGCTGCACTGTTTTGGAGGATTCCTTGTCACCTAGTCCAGGACAGGTGACCCATTAAGTAAGCAGAAATAGCTTGAAAAATTGGGAACCTGTGAATTCGATTCTTGAATTCTCCCCTCTACTTGTGATGTGACATCAATGGGCCTTTAAAAGAGAAAAGAAAATGGAGGGGCACTAATGGACCAAGGTGGGTGGACTTTCCTTACAGAAGGAAGCCTGTGGGCCTATCCATGTATGGCCTAGAAGGCAATGTAGTCTCTGATGAATAGGAAAGGAGTAATCTCTGGGCTTTATTTTTATCCTGTTATGGCTTGATCGGGCCCTTCTGGAAGTGTCAGTTTCCTTTAGAGTATTGTCCTGGGTTTGATAAATAATCAGATTTGGGATTGCAGTCATGGTTTTATCATCTAGATCACTGTGATTTCTATTAGGAAAGCAGCCAGTCGATGCCCCCAGGCCTGTAGCCATTCAGCATCCTGGTCCTGGACTTAACTCCAGGCCCTACCCTGGTCCAACTTAATTTCAGGTCCGAGAAACGGGCCAGAGCTCATTGAGTGAATGCATGGCCAAGCCTGCATTGCAAAATGGAAAAGGCTCAGTCACCAGGGCCTTTGGAGTTTGAGGACTTATACCAGATCTAGAATAAGCTCACGTGGCTTCTGAGGAAGGAAATCACTCTGTGCTCAGCCAGCTTAGATAGTCTGTTGGAGTGGTCATTGGTAACAAATCTGGTCTTGCAACCTTGGCAGCCCTGACCCTTGATGCAGGCCACTTTGGAAATGGGAAAAGGATGACTGGAACCCCTGGGTAGATTTTGTCCCTTGATTTAGTTTGGAACATCTCCAGGGATGTTCCAAACTAAAAATCCTGGGCCAGCAAATACAGGCAGGAAGGATTCTGGAAGCCAGTCAGCTGGGCTCTATGAACTGCCTAGTTGTCCCGAGGACCTCTCCCTCTCTTCCATGTCCCTTGGAGTTTAGCTGGCATTTTCTTTGGGTTCCCTACTTATAGGACTGACTCTACTAACCTTTCTGCCCTTTTTTCTGCTCTTTCTCTCCTTGCAGAAGAAAAGCGAGGAGCCCTTCAGGTTGTGCCTATGACCCTTTGGGTCGTCCTTTTTTGTCTATTTCCCTCCCCTCCTTCCCAAGCACTGTATGTGTGTGTGTATGTGTGTGTGTGTGTGTACATGCACATGTGCGTGCATGATCTGTGCCTCTGAGCTTTGGCTCATGCAGTCTATTTTTCTGAAAAGCAGTTTGTGTGCATGCTCCTTGCTTGTGTGTGCTCCTGCAGATATCCCTGGAGCACACTGCGAGAATGTGTGTGCACCAGCATGGGTGTGCATTCAATGTAGCATGTGTGTGCTTATACTCAGTTTGACTCCCCCAGACACTGATTACCCTCCTTTTCTCCTACTCAGCTCAGTGTGTGTCCATTTTCTACCTGTTGCTGCAAACTCTGGCATATGCTGTAAAACCTTGGCTGAGCCCAGCACGCATGTGTACTTTGTATTTGAGAGCAGGCTTTGCTGCAGGCATTTCCTGCCTCTTGCCTGAGGCCCTAAGTGTGAAGGTACTTGTGCTCTGAACAGGCTTCCTGACCTCTCTGTTGAGCACAGGCTTCTGTAGCCCTGTTACGTGGTTTCCCCAAACCATGTGAATGCATAGTATACTAATGCCCTGTGCTTGCAAGCACTGGCTCTTGAAGACCATGAGGGTTTGCTTTGCCTGTGATTTGGGCCATAGTAAACACTGTGAATCCTCCTCAGATGAGTTTCTGCAGATCACTGAATACTCTGAAGCTTATGTTCTGAAGCCATAAGCCTAGGATCCATGCTCACCATGTGTTTCCTTCAGACACAAGTTGTGTGTACTATGTGTGCAGGCTTTTGCAGACATGTTGTTATCCCTTCTGAGCACAGGAAATGTGCATGATCTGAGCCAGGTTCTCAGACTTTTTGTGACTTTGTTTCCTTAAGCCCAGTGGTTTCTGGCAAATATCTCACTCTGGATAGGAAATAAGAACCTGCTGAGTACGGTGGCTATTTCCAGAGGGAAAATAAGTTCTGGTTGGTAAGATCTGGGGATTTAGGGATTGGCTCCCCAACACTCAACCCTTACCCCTTCCATAAGCAACCTTAGAAGACTTGCAGCTTTTCTGTTATTTCCCACCTACTGTTGTTTCTTCCCACCTACTGTTGTTTCTTCTATACTATCCCCATTGTCTTTTGCTTCAGCCACTTCTGGCTGCCTTTTGGACCTGGCCCTCCCATTACCAATATCATCCTACCTATAGAAAGGATAGGAGGCAGATGGGGTGGAATGGGGGCTCTGGTCCGTAGGGAGATAGGCTTGATTAAAACATAGACAACCTAAGAGGAGTCTTAAATCCAAAATTCATGTGAGCCTATTGCTGACCCAGGTAATTCTCCCTCACTTTTCCATCACCATTAGCTCTGTCCTATCTGTCCCTATTCTCCTCTGTATTGCCTCATTGTTATCCATAACTTCTCCCCACTTTAGCTCTCCAAAACATCACTCACTGTTCAAAGCTAAGCACCTTAATTCTGCCTCCCTTCTGGAGCTCATTTGCTCCAGGATAGTTAGGAGGCAGGGAAGTTGTTGGGAGTGGAAGAAAACAAGGAGGGGCAGGAAGCCCCAGACCTGTTAGCCTGAAAAAAGCATGTGCTATTGGACCTCTGGAGCACTCTGGCAGCTTTGGACCTTTCTGCATGCTGCTTGAAGGATTTGCTTTTGTTTATTTTGTTTTCTTTTGGTACAGAAACCTTTAAAAGGTGATTTTTGAACTGTTCCCTTCCTTGAATTATTTGGTGTCTCAAGTTTCGACTTCTCATTCTAGGGCCTATAGAATTCACTAGAATGATAATCCAAGTGTCTAATCTACCCTGGGTTCTCTTGTTATGTAGAATTTATTAAATAGAGAGAATATACTTAGTGTCAGTGAGTCAGAGGTTCAAGGCACCCAAACTAAATCCAACCACAAAATGAGATAGGAATCCAGAGAGACCAGGTCTGACTCTGGGACATTAAGGGAGTTTAGGAATATAGCTGGAAGAAGACTGGACTCTATATGAAGGTGTCCTTTTGCTTTAGTGAGGCCTGGAAGCCTAAGTAGGCCCTTCTCCTGTGCTTGGTTTACTGCTGTCTACACTAATGGCTCATATAAGAGTGATATGAGTTCTGCCATTCCAGTAGACTTCAGCCCTGCAAACTCAGTGAGCTTTGCCCTATCTCCTATTCACCAAGGAGACAGGTACCACTCATTTCAGCAGCCTGCTTGTTGCCCTGACTGATCAGGACATTGGTTTAGATGTCAGACAGGCTGTCACCACATGGTGAATGTGACTTACACTGCTCTGGGCTTGTACTCTACTGCTCGCTGCTCAGATTACAGGCAATCTCCCATCTTTCCCAGGATCTAACTTGTTTCCTATCTCTTTTTAAAGATTCCAGATGATGGTGACCCCTCTCTGCCTCAGTGGCTCCCGGAAGGGTAAGTAATTCACTGCAAGGTTTCTGTGGATTTTATTCAGTATCTCTTGATGCTTTTAGCTTTTCCCCTGGGAAGCAGGGGAACCAGCTTCATAAGCTGCATCCTGGGGAAGGAAAAGGTTCCACTATAGGTTGGTTGGTTCTCTGAGGCAGAGGAGAGAACTCTGCTGATGGATTCCTTGGAGGCAGAAGAGGGAACTTTGCAGAATGGTTACCCTGGTGCAGGGGAGGGAGCTTTGGGGCCTTCTCATCCTTGCCTCTATAATTTCTGGTCCATCTTTTCATAGTGGTGAAATACTCTTTAAGTAGAACAAAGAGGAAATTAGAAAAATATCTGCATTTGGAAACATTTTCTTTCCATTTCATTTGTTTTTAATTTTTGTAGGTACATACTAGGTGTGTCTATTTATGGGTTACATTAGATATTTTGATACAGGCATACAGTGTGTAATACTCACATCAGGGTAAATGGGGTATCCATCACTTCAAGCAGTTATCCTTTCTTTTTGTTACAATCCACTTACACTCTTTTCGTTATTTTAAAATGTGCAATAAATTGTTGTTGACTGTAGTCACCCTGCTGTGCTATCAATACTAGATCTTATTCATTCTATCCATTCCATTGTTGATGGTGTGGCTGATTAAGTTACTCCTAGGCTTGATCCTGCTCCAGCTGTTGTGAGTCATCTACTTATTCCATTCCACTGTAGTCAGGATATAAGTAACACCCCTTTCTGAGCTCTGTATGTTCTGTCCGTGCTTCTTGTTTGGGAGTTTCAGACCTGTGTGATTGTACCAGAGTCATTTTAAGCTGCTCAGTGTAGCCTGTAACTGACTGTTCTTAAAGAGAGAAGAGAGTTCAAGTACCTTCTCATTCCCCACTCCTTCCCACAAATACCACCAATTAGTTATCTAGACCTTCCTTTTCCCTTTTTCCTACAAAGGCTTCTGACATCAGAAGTCTCAGTAGTTGCTTCCTCTTGTGGCCAGGGAAGAAGAAAGATCAGGTAGATGATCTACTATATTTTTACATGCTCCTTTCCCTTGCAATTTGTCATCTTTAAAAAAAAATTTTTTTTAACTTTTGTTTTAGGTTCAGGGGTACATGTGCAGGTTTGTTATATAGTTAAACTCGTGTCACAGGGATTTGTTGTACAGATTATTTCATCACCCAAGTACTATAACAATAGTTATTTTTTCTGCTCCTCTCCCTCCTCCTACCCTTCACCCTCAAGTAGGCCCGTGTCTGTTGTTACCCTCTTTGTGTCCATGTGTTCTCATCATTTAGCTCCCACTTATAAGAGAGAACATGCAGTGTTTGGTTTTCTGTTCCTGCATTAGTTTGCTAAGAATAGTGGCCTCCAGCTCCAGCCATGTTCCTGCAAAGGACATGATCTCGTTCTTTTTTATGGCCACATAGTATTCTGCGGTGTATATGTATCACATTTTCTTTATCCAGTGTGCCACTGATGGGCATTTAGCTTGATTCCATGTCTTTGCTATTGTGAATAATGCTGCAGCGAACATACTCATCCATCTGTCTTTATGGTAGAACACTGTATATTCCTTTGGGTATATACCCAATAATGGGATTGTTGAGTCGAATGGTTGTTCTGTTTTTAGTTCTTTGAGGAATCACCACACTGCTTTCCACAACGGTTGAACTAATTTACACTCCTGCCAACAGTGTATAAGTGTTCTCTTTTCCCTGCAGCTTTGTCAGTATCTGTTTTTTTTTTTTTTAGTTTGTCTTCTTTTAATCAAGGGTGAATCATTGAATGAGCTACCCCCTTCTTCTTTTATTGAAAGATCATTTATGTTTAAAAAAAAAACTTCTTGCCTTAAGAGATACATATTGTAGTTTCTAGAATTAGCTACAAAGTTGTGGCATCAGTTGCTTCTTCAGTGATCTTTAGTTTTTTTCTTCTAATAATTGTAAAATACACACATGTCAATGGGACATATCCAGACTACTTCTGAATGTAGCTATGTAGTAGTTTTCTAAATGATTCCCTATTGTCTTTCTTCCTTTTCTTTCACCTTCGTCCTTAGAAGCTGTCCTAAGTATAGAACTTCCCTCAGTCTGGTAGTCTCATTAAAAACAAAGCCTACTGCCTATGTTCAGGGAGCTGTTTTATTAGAAATCAGCATATTGAGTGGCCTGTTTCAACTCCTGGACTTGACCCAATTTGTGGTTCCATTCTTTGCCTAGATAGCTACAAGTACCTACTTTTTCTGTTGGGATATTTCTGTCTTTAGACCAGCCGTGGTATACAGCCCAGCTACCCAACTTTCCCAACGTCTTTGCTCTCATTAAAACCAAGTACATGAGTTCTTTGCATTAAGGCCAGAGAGTTTTTTGTTGCTTATCCATCTCATTTTATAGAAGCGTCACCAAGGCCCAAAGTGAAGAAGGAATTTTGGGAGAAGACATAGTACATTAATAGAAGAACTGGAGTTAAAATCCAGGTTATTTCAGTGTAGTTTCTTTTGGGTACATTTTCTGTTTTTATTGCATATTGTTATAAAAGAACAATAAAATTAATCAGTATAGAAAAGGTGTAAAAGTTTTAGAAATGTCCAGCTGCTGTAGCTGTAATTTTTCTCCAGGCTCTGTTGATGTGTCCATAGGGCTAGGCCACACTCATACAGTCCCTTTGCTGTTTCCTTCCTAAATGGTGTTTTGTTTTGTTTTTTCTTCCCTTAGGTGGTCTTTTGGAAGTCTCTCATACCACCTCCCCTATTACACTTGATTATGAGGGCTCCTTTCTCCATGGAGAAGGCTTTTCTTCAGGAGGCCTAGGTAGACAGAACTGGTGACTCTTTTACTCTTGGATGGAGACGGTCTCCTTCTATGTGCCATTGTCTGGTATAGTCTTACTCACCTAGACTCTTGCCGTAGAGCCACCCTGTGGGTTCTGTTCTAGCACAGCCTTGGCAAGACTTATCTTTGGGGAGCAGTGTCTTTGCCCTGAATGTGGGGAGAAGCCCTCTTGAGTGCCAATTCCTACCTTGCCTTATGGAGCATAAAAGTGCCTTCAAATAAATAGAAATGCCTTGAACTATCACTGGGATAAAAGAGCCTCAGTTCTCAGCTGAAACTGTAAGAGACACTGAGGGGTCCTGTGAGAACAGATTCTATTGCTCACTCTTCCATGACTTTATTTCCCTGACTTTCTGTCTTTCCTTCCCGTCCTAAAAGCACATGGTAGAGGTCAGTTCATCTTCCTCTGGGGAGAGGGAGAGCAAGGTGAATGGAACACTGAACCCACCAGCTAACTCAAAGCAAGACTGACGGTCCTGACATATTTTCTTCTCTCCTCAGGCCAGCCGGAGGGCTCTATGGCATTGACAGCATGCCAGATTTACGCAGAAAGAAGCCACTGCCACTTGTCAGTGATCTGGTGAGTGAAGACTCTTGTGCAGGCATAGGCAGTAGCCTTGGGGTATCCCCCATTGGGCCTTGGCAAGCTGTCAGGATTGGAAGTCGTCCATTTAATGACTCAAATTGATCTGATGATCAATCATTTAAAGCCTTCGGAGACTTAGCAGTGGCTTCACAGGGACTGTGTTCTACCTCACTCCCTAGTCAGAGTCCTGAATTTATTAGCTCAAGCTCCTACCTGGAATATTTGTGACTTGGGCTCTCAAAGTTAGGATTTTGTGTCTTCCTATAGGCATCTAGCTCTTATAGGTATCTCTACAGCCTTCTTTGATGACCTGTAATGGAAATTGCCTCCAGCCCTTGACCTCTTGATCATTGAGCTTGGTATGGGATGAGCATGACTGGAGCTTGATGCCTTCTTGGAAGTCAAGCAAAAGTCTCTTCTCAAGACATAGGCTTTTGAGACTATCTCTGTAACCTAGTGTCAGGCACTGAGAGGCAATGATAAAAATTTGTGGAATTGAATTGAAACAGGCTTAAGAGTTAAAGCTGATCCCAGGGCCTCCATCCCATCCTCCCAGGATGACCAGAAGCCCCATTCTGGGTCATACCTTCTGAGGCACAAACAACCCAAGGAATTTTCTGTAGCCTTGTGGGTAGTTGGGGGTGAAGTGAGGTCCAGGTTCTCTCAGAGCTCTAAAGCTAGAAATCGGGTGTAAGGATTCAGTTAAATGTGAACCCTTTTCCCTTATTACCATTTTCTGTTTCTGTTTTCTTTTTTCTCTCTATTCTATCTATTGTTTTTCCTAACCACCCCTCTTCCCTCTTCCCCATTTCCTGCTCCACTAGTTTCTCCCTCCTTAGTTGACCGAATGAAAGTATCATCTGCCATTTTCTCTTCATCATTTTTCTTCCCTTCCATTATTTCTTACCATTTGTTCATCTTCTCCTTTCTCTCTCTTTCTTTCTTTCTTTTTTTTTTTTTTTATAGAGACGGAGTCCCTGTTACCCAGGCTGGTCTCAAACTCCCGGGCTCAAGTGATCCTCCTGCCTCAGCTTCCCAAAGTGCTGGGATTACAGGCGTGAGCCACCATGCCCGACTCCTCCTTTCTAATGTACCTCTTCTTCCACTAGCTCTTCATCTAGCTGGTTGAAGATAAATTCTGATGCCATGTCTTCTTCAATACCATTTTCCTTTCCTTAATGTCTCTCATCTCCTCTTTTTTTTCTTCCTCTTCTTCCTACTTTTTTTCCTCATCCTTTCTCACTGTTTGCCCATGAGCAAGTATCTAGTTTATTTCTTGCTATCCCTCTCTGTCTTTTGCCCTATCTTTGGCTTTATGGCATAATACTCCTTAGAGTAGGTGCTCTAGGCTTTGGGTCCTGGCCAGTGGTCTGGGTTGAAGACAGTTTTTAGTGGACAGAAGCAGAGTGGATTGGGAAATGCTCCCTGCTTTGGACTATAGGGAAGAACCTCTCAGTTGCCTCTGAAAGTTTTCATGCCCTTTCGAGCCTTTAACATCATGTTGTTCTTTTCTCTGCTGTCCTCTACGCAGGCTATGGTGAGTGTCTCCAGAGCCCTTTCTCATCCTCTTTAAAAGTCTGCATCCCTGGCTGGTTGCAGTGGCTCATGCCTGTAATCCCAGCACTTTGGGAGGCTGAGGCGGGCGGATCACAAGGTCAGGAGTTCGAGACTAGCCTGACCAACATAGTGAAACACTGTTTCTACTAAAAATACAAAAAAATTAGCCAGCCGTGGTGGCGAGTACCTGTAATCTCAGCTACTTGGGAGGCTGAGGCAGGAGAATCGCTTGAACCCGGGAGGCGGAAGTTGCAATGAGCTGAGATCGCACCACTGCACTCCTGCCTGGGCGACAGTGCAAGACTCTGTCTCCAAACAAACAAACAAACAAACAAAATCCTCATCCCAAATCACTTGGGCCCTTCCCAGCTGTTCCTCCTGCTTAGGCTGATATTATGACTTCTGCCTTCTCAGCGTCCTCTGCCTTTAGGAAACCATGTGCCTCTCCAGGGGCTGCCCCTAAAGCTTGGGCTTGGCAGATACATGGGCCCTGTGCAAGAGTGTGGCTAGCAAGGCAGCCCCAGCTCTCAGACTTAACTCTCTGGGCTTGGCAGATACATGGGGCCCCTGTGCAAGAGTGTGGCTAGCAAGGCAGCCCCAGCTCTCAGACTTAACTCTCTGGGCTTGGCAGATACATGGGGCCCCTGTG
This sequence comes from Homo sapiens, assembly GCF_000001405.40. Taxonomy (NCBI): domain Eukaryota; kingdom Metazoa; phylum Chordata; class Mammalia; order Primates; family Hominidae; genus Homo; species Homo sapiens. Next base: position 35,372,609 of record NC_000009.12, read on the forward strand.
CAAGAGTGTGGCTAGCAAGGCAGCCCCAGCTCTCAGACTTAACTCTCTGGGCTTGGCAGATACATGGGGCCCCTGTGCAAGAGTGTGGCTAGCAAGGCAGCCCCAGCTCTCAGACTTAACTCTCTGGGCTTGGCAGATACATGGGCCCCTGTGCAAGAGTGTGGCTAGCAAGGCAGCCCCAGCTCTCAGACTTAACTCTCTGTGCTTGGCAGATACATGGGGCCCTGTGCAAGAGTGTGGCTAGCAAGGCAGCCCCAGCTCTCAGACTTAACTCTCTGGGCTTGGCAGATACATGGGGCCCCTGTGCAAGAGTGTGGCTAGCAAGGCAGCCCCAGCTCTCAGACTTAACTCTCTGGGCTTGGCAGATACATGGGCCCTGTGCAAGAGTGTGGCTAGCAAGGCAGCCCCAGCTCTCAGACTTAACTCTCTGTGCTTGGCAGATACATGGGGCCCTGTGCAAGAGTGTGGCTAGCAAGGCAGCCCCAGCTCTCAGACTTAACTCTCTGGGCTTGGCAGATACATGGGGCCCCTGTGCAAGAGTGTGGCTAGCAAGGCAGCCCCAGCTCTCAGACTTAACTCTCTGGGCTTGGCAGATACATGGGGCCCTGTGCAAGAGTGTGGCTAGCAAGGCAGCCCCAGCTCTCAGACTTAACTCTCTGTGCTTGGCAGATACATGGGGCCCTGTGCAAGAGTGTGGCTAGCAAGGCAGCCCCAGCTCTCAGACTTAACTCTCTGGGCTTGGCAGATACATGGGCCCCTGTGCAAGAGTGTGGCTAGCAAGGCAGCCCCAGCTCTCAGACTTAACTCTCTGTGCTTGGCAGATACATGGGGCCCTGTGCAAGAGTGTGGCTAGCAAGGCAGCCCCAGCTCTCAGACTTAACTCTCTGGGCTTGGCAGATACATGGGGCCCTGTGCAAGAGTGTGGCTAGCAAGGCAGCCCCAGCTCTCAGACTTAACTCTCTGGGCTTGGCAGATACATGGGGCCCCTGTGCAAGAGTGTGGCTAGCAAGGCAGCCCCAGCTCTCAGACTTAACTCTCTGGGCTTGGCAGATACATGGGGCCCTGTGCAAGAGTGTGGCTAGCAAGGCAGCCCCAGCTCTCAGACTTAACTCTCTGGGCTTGGCAGATACATGGGGCCCCTGTGCAAGAGTGTGGCTAGCAAGGCAGCCCCAGCTCTCAGACTTAACTCTCTGGGCTTGGCAGATACATGGGGCCCCTGTGCAAGAGTGTGGCTAGCAAGGCAGCCCCAGCTCTCAGACTTAACTCTCTGGGCTTGGCAGATACATGGGGCCCCTGTGCAAGAGTGTGGCTAGCAAGGCAGCCCCAGCTCTCAGACTTAACTCTCTGGGCTTGGCAGATACATGGGGCCCTGTGCAAGAGTGTGGCTAGCAAGGCAGCCCCAGCTCTCAGACTTAACTCTCTGGGCTTGGCAGATACATGGGGCCCTGTGCAAGAGTGTGGCTAGCAAGGCAGCCCCAGCTCTCAGACTTAACTCTCTGGGCTTGGCAGATACATGGGGCCCCTGTGCAAGAGTGTGGCTAGCAAGGCAGCCCCAGCTCTCAGACTTAACTCTCTGGGCTTGGCAGATACATGGGGCCCCTGTGCAAGAGTGTGGCTAGCAAGGCAGCCCCAGCTCTCAGACTTAACTCTCTGTGCTTGGCAGATACATGGGCCCTGTGCAAGAGTGTGGCTAGCAAGGCAGCCCCAGCTCTCAGACTTAACTCTCTGGGCTTGGCATATACATCGGGCCCTGTGCAAGAGTGTGGCTAGCAAGGCAGCCCCAGCTCTCAGACTTAACTCTCTGGGCTTGGCAGATACATGGGGCCCCTGTGCAAGAGTGTGGCTAGCAAGGCAGCCCCAGCTCTCAGACTTAACTCTCTGGGCTTGGCAGATACATGGGGCCCCCTATGCAAGAGTGTGGCTAGCAAGGCAGCCCCAGCTCTCAGACTTAACTCTCTGTCCTGCTTGATTTGACTGAGGCTTCAATGCCCTTTTCACTTGCCAAGTGCCCTACTTGTAGGCCTGCTGGCCTCTGCAGCCATCCAGGGATTATGTGGGCTTGGGGAGGTGCCAAGGTATAGAGGTTAGCATGGAATCATTTTTCTCCATAATGGCTCTTGAATGTGACTCTGACAGAGTTGTGTGTCTCTATTATTCTTAATTACCTGTTTCCTACTATAGTTCTAAGCTTTTCATTTTCCTTTGCCTTCCCATAAACAAGGAGTTTCTGTGGGGTAGGACACTAAGAAGAGTGAAAGAAAAAGAAACTCTTTGGATGATAGATACCCTGAAGAAAGTGCTGTTCTAACATAGTTAGAGCAGCCCCCTGAGGGCCTTGGGTTTTGCATCTTAACCTGGGACACTTGTCACCTGTTAGGGCGGTTGCTGTGAGTGACAATAAAAATAGAAAGTACTGTAGTAAGCTATAGTCAAGTGGCTTTGGTCACTGAAGCTCCCTCCCCCAGACTTTGCCAGCCCTTGGCAGTGGTCAGGGCTAACAGCAGATCTTCCCTGACAGTCACTGGTCCAGTCTCGGAAGGCAGGAATCACTTCTGCAATGGCTACACGCACTTCTCTTAAGGACGAAGAGCTGGTAAGTGTCCCAAGTGCTTTCGTAAGTCCACTGGCCTCAGGACTGGTGATCATCTCTGTAGCCATGCTATTAATAATTGGGAATTCTGGGAATTCAAGAGTGCTGGACACACATTGCTGATGAAAAAGATAGATAGCATCAGGTGTTAGTTTTCCACACTGGGAAAGACTCTAAGCAAGTCTAGATCAGAGAGTAAGCCCAAGTCTCATGTTGAAGGGTGTGACCACTGAACTCAAGGTTTTATGATGGACCTAGTACCTTCTGTTTTCTTAGAAAGCGTGAATGCTGGAACAAGGCTCGGATCCAGCATCAGGTCCAACCTGTGTTGGACAACCAGAAGCACACTATATTGTGGGCCTCATTCTGCTATGCTGGGCTCTGGGCTGGGCCAGGATAGAGCATCTTCTTCATTGCCAGAGGAGACACGAAATCAAGGTCCTGATTGTCCCACAGGGTCTCAGTTCTGGTATCTCCCTGCAGAACCCAAAAGTCATGGGGACCAGGCATGTTGGCTTATGCCTGTAATCCCAGCACTTTGGGAGGCCAAGGCAGGTGGATCACTTGAGGTCAGGAGTTCGAGACAAGCCTGACCAACATGGTGAAACCCTGTCTCTACTAAAAATACAAAAATTAGCTGGGCATGGTAGCATGTGCATGTAATCCCAGCTACTTGGGGGCCAAGGCAGGAGAATTGCTTGAACCTGGGAGGTGGAGGTTGCAATGAGCCGAGATCATACCACTGCACTCCAGCCTGGGCAACAGAGCAAGACTCTGTCTCAAAACAAACAAAAAACAAAAATCATGGGATGGGGTATGTGTCTTTCAGAAATCCCACGTGTATAAGAAAACCCTGCAGGCCTTAATCTACCCCATTTCGTGCACCACTCCTCATAACTTTGAGGTCTGGACGGCCACTACCCCAACCTACTGCTATGAGTGTGAAGGCCTGCTCTGGGGCATTGCCCGGCAGGGCATGCGCTGCAGCGAATGTGGAGTCAAGTGCCATGAGAAGTGCCAGGATCTGCTCAATGCTGACTGCCTGCAGCGTGAGTGCCCTGCGGGATGAGGGGCGGGGAGTGGGGCAGCAGGGGCTTTCCAAAATAGTCTGCAGCAAAGAGCTGGGATGGCTGAACCAATCATTCCCCCAGTCCACCTGATTCTGAAACCCTATCCATTTCAGAGAAGGTAGGATTCTGAATCAAGGGGCATTGCCTTTCCAAATAACAGGTCTTACACTACCTTCTTAAGCACCTTTAGGAAAAATTCTTTGAGCTTTCTGTGGTAGTGTAGCTAGAATCTTATAGGATTCAGTTGATCCCAGAGACTGAGCTTTGTAGTGTATACAGCACAGCGGCCTTATTGTCCAAATGACAAAAGCATCAGGATCTGAGGCTAATGAGAGGAAAGAAATAGAGTTTTGTGGGGTTCCAGGCCCCACAGAGGAACCTCCTAAAGCCTAGAATCTAGGACTCAGGGAAGGCAGCATTCATTACTTGTTTTTAGACAATAGTGCCAGAAATAGAAATGTCAAATGAATCTGGTAGAGGTCCAAGAGGAGAGTATACCAGACCCCCAGGGCCTTGGCTAAATATATGACTTGTCCTGCCATGATGGAGTGGGGACAATAGGAGCAGGAAAAGCAACAAGTTCTTGTTAGAGGAAATGGTAGCGCTCAAAGTTCATATCTCCTTGCTCCCCTCCTGCTGGCCTTGCACTCACTGTGGCTGGACCCCAGGAAAAGCAGGGGTGAAGGAAGTGGGAAACTATTTTCCTGCCCTCCAGACCTCCCAGGTATTACCCACAAGCCAAGCTGTAGCACTGAAAGCTTTAAAGATTGTGCTAGGAGAAGGGAAGGTCACCTCTAGACCCACAAGTACTTCATTATCCCAAGGACAGCTATGACATATAAAAGGGGACCAGGGAGAGGCCTTGAGCAATTATTCATGGAAAATGTCCTTTGAAGAGCCTCAAATTGGTGCCAATGGCAAGGCTAGGTTAGACGTGAAGAGACAGGTAGGACAGAGTCAGCGGAAGAGATGGGCTCTGAAAAGACTGCCTGAAGACAAATGCTAGTAATGACTTGGCCAAAATCCATCATGAAGGGGTGGCAAGTGCAGGTGCCAGAGGGCCCTTGCTTAATTGCTGAGAACTAGCAACCAGGCTGGCTGCATAGTTTCTCCACTGCTCTGCAGCCTCTCCCAGGCCCCATTCCTCAGCTCAACCCTTGGTCTGGTAGGTGACCTGTTGTGTTCCTGGCCACCTTCAGGGGCTGCAGAAAAGAGCTGTAAACATGGAGCTGAGGACCGGACCCAGAACATTATCATGGCCATGAAGGACCGCATGAAGATCCGAGAGCGAAATAAGCCAGAGATCTTTGAAGTTATCCGGGACGTCTTCACAGTGAACAAAGCTGCCCATGTGCAGCAGATGAAAACAGTGAAGCAGAGTGTACTGGATGGCACCTCCAAATGGTCAGCCAAGATCACCATTACTGGTGAGCAGGCCACAGTTTGAGGGGACAGGAAGGCCTGGGCTATGGGGAGGAGACTGGGGAAGAAACATCCTGAGCGTGAGGGAGCAAGGGATTAGGGAGAAAGAAAAAGGAAATCACTGGGAAGGAAAGGCCTCTTTATTAATCACTTCTCCTTACCTAGACCCTGGTGCCGGAGAGGCAAGATTGCTATCTGCAAACAACATGAACCATAATACAAGGATTTGCTAACAACCTAACGCTGTAGACTTGGCTAACAGTTTGATATTATAAGAGGTGGGGGGAGGGGGAAGGGGAAGGGCAGGGGACCAGGGAGTAGCTAACCAGTGGTTTGCTAACTGGGTGGGGCTGAAGCATGTATATATCAGAGGGTGTAAAGATCAATATAGAGATAAGTGGTCAGTTAGGGCTTGGGTAGGGAGATGGGATGCTTGGGCTTTAAGGGAAAGGCTGGTGGCCCAGGACAAAGAATAAATATGGAGGAATGGGATTACGGTATCTGTGCAAGGAGCATAGACTGCTCTAAGATGGAAAGCATATGAGTAGTGTTGTGGGGGGCTTCTGAACGACTCTGAAGCCTCCTATACATGCTTGGGTTGCAGTGGTGTGTGCCCAGGGCCTACAAGCCAAGGACAAAACAGGATCCAGTGACCCTTACGTGACTGTGCAAGTCAGCAAAACTAAGAAGCGTACCAAGACCATTTTTGGAAACTTGAATCCTGTTTGGGAGGAGAAGTTCCATTTGTAAGTCACAGAGAGCTTTGTCTTACCTGGGACTGTGTGTATTGGGGGAGCAGGATCACATCCTGCCATTCTGGGCTTGAGCTTGAAGATTGGGCAAAGGCAGGGGAGAAAACTCATTTCTCGCATGCTTCGTTCAGACATCAGCCATTCTTTCTCTGGTTTTCTTCTCATGAGCTGTTGTGTCAGGATTACTGTGCCCATGCCCTGTCTTCACCAGGGCTATTAAAGGGGCCCTAGGGCACCCCATCCTGCTTTTTCTAGCAGTAGAAAGATTTTACTACTTTACTGCTCAGTGACAGAACCAGGGACTGACTGCCTTATTGTACCTCCTACCCTTGCCTAGGAAGGTACAGTAGGGTTAGGCTCTCATAAGGAAGGCTCTTATAAGGAGTGGGGAGGGAGTGTCCTTGTCCTAAAACTGGGTAATTCTGGCTTAAAAGTGGAAATCTGGGTTCTGAAGAAGATGCTGTTTCCCATAAAGATAGTGTTTCTTCCTGCCTCAGCTTCTACACTCACTCATTTTTTTATTATCTCACTTTCTTACAAACTATTTCTTATGACAGTAAAGGATGGTTATTGAAAAATGGCAAACTAATGTCTGAGAATCCACATGCTTTGTCGCTCCCTAATAAGGCCTAGGGTCAGGATTTTGGATTTGAATCAGCCAAGCAGGCTGGCTATGTAGAGGCCTCCTTCTGTTGGCTCCTCAGAAGATTCAGAAAGGGATTAAGGCCAGCGTGGTGGCTCACACCTGTAATCCCAGCACTTTGGGAGGCTGAGGCAGGCAGATCACCTGAGGTCAGGAGTTCCAGACCAGACTGGCCAACATGGCAAAACCCCATCTCTATTAAGAATACAAAAATAAGCCAGGCATGGTGGCAGGTGCCTGTAGTCCCAGCTTACTCGGGAGGCTGAGGGAAGAGAATCCCCTGAACCTGGGAGGCAGACGTTGCAGTGCACCAAGATCATGCCACTGTACTCCAGCCTGGTGACAGAGTGAGACTCCGTCTAAAAAAAGAAAAGAAAAAAAAAAGGGATTAGGATATAGTAAAATTCATCTCTAATCCAGAGATAATATTAATAGCTACCAGGAGAAACACCTGTTTGAGAATCTGAATAGTTCCTGCTTGAATTCTTCTTATGACTAATTTAAAATGAACTAGCTCTTGGTCATTTTTGCCCACTTTTAGTAAACAGTTTATTAAGCTCATATTCTGTACAAGACACTATACATAATACAGTGTATCCAAAAATGAATAGAACAATCCCTGGCTTCAAGAAGCTCCTTGTTGATTTGTCTATTATCTTCTCACAGAGCAGTGGTTATACTGTAATATTTTAATGGAATGTGGAAAGATAACATAAGAACATAGGGAAAGTAAGAGCACATTTTGCCAGTTACAACTTTTGGGTGAAACAACAGATCCCAGAAAGCAACTGTTGGAGAGGAGAGCTTGAGACAAGACCTGGGAAAACTCCTTTCTCCAAAGCAAACCCGATAGACGAGATGACAATTCAATGGGATATGATAGGCTAATATAGAAGTTCACCAAGCACATAGTTAGGCAGATGAGAGAGTTAGATAGAAAGCCAAACAGTTATAACCCTATGGGCCTACCATGAACATGTCTAGCACCTTTACTGACTTCATGTCCTGGGCTCTGAGGATGGAGCTAGCAGTTGCTTCCTGGAGCTCCGTGGCATGTCTAGCTATTTTCCTCTTGGTGTTGCTGATACAGCTAGCTGTATAGGAAGTCAGAATTGACCTGAATTACTCTTCCCTCCACCCCTTGCCCTTTGTTCTAGGACAATAAGAACTGTACAGTGGTAGATAGAGCCACCCAGGCCGAGGAATGAAGAGTCATTTGCTAGGATAGCCCAACTTTCTTGGAACTTTTGTACTGCTGTCCTCTGACTTCTCCTCTTTCAGGGCCTCAAGTGCAGCTGTCGGAGCTTTTGGGAGGGAATAGGAAGTAACAGGATTTGGCGCTACTGGGTCTGCCCCTAACAGAGCCTGCCTAATTCTCTCACAGTGAGTGCCACAACTCCTCTGACCGCATTAAGGTGCGTGTATGGGATGAGGATGATGACATCAAGTCAAGAGTAAAGCAACGCCTAAAGCGAGAGTCTGATGATTTCCTTGGCCAAACCATCATTGAGGTTCGGACCCTAAGTGGCGAGATGGACGTCTGGTACAACTTGGGTGAGGAAACTGGACCCGAGAAAGTTGCTTGGAAGGGAAAGCATGAAGGGGACCTGGGAATAGTCCTTCTACCAAAACCACCATCTGTCCCCAAAGCATACCTCTATACAGAGCCTGTCTCACCTGCAAAGAACTGACTGTGGGGAGGGATGGGGGACAGAGGAGTGGCAGTGGCTGTGAGTCACTCTGGCTGAATGTTCTCTAGGTTTCAGAAGGCCCTTTAATCTTCATACTAGTGCTTTTGTCCCCCCTCCACACTCCTGTTCTCCTACCCAGCTAGTTCAAGGGTACTTGTGGAATATGTGGTCACTGGAGTGATTCACCCTATTTGGTGAGTCCTTGGGTTGGCCCCTTCTTTTCCTTGGGTTGGCCCCTTCTCTTCCTTGGGTTAAGCCAGAATGGAACTATCTATGCTGTCTAGTTGCATTGGTGTCAATCTCCAGTCTTCTTTCCTTCCTAGAGAAGAGGACAGACAAATCAGCCGTCTCAGGGGCTATCCGACTACAAATCAGTGTGGAGATCAAGGGGGAGGAGAAAGTAGCCCCATACCACGTGCAGTATACATGTCTCCATGAGGTGAGCCAGCCCTTGGTAGGTGGGGGATCAGAAAGCAGTGCTGGGAGAGGCCTTTGGCCATAAGTAGGATTGCTAGGTGGTTGGAATCCGAGGCCCATTTTAAATTTTATCCTTGATTCACTCTGTTACCCTGGAGAGTCCGAGTGACTGAACTCAGACTGCATTCTCTTCCACTAATGTGAGAACAGCCTACTGGGGCCACAGGAGGAACTGAGCAATGACTGGAAGGACAGAATTTCTGTGGGACCTTGTGCACATTCTTCTGGGCTTTACCACCAAGTTTGTTTTTGTCTTTCATATGTGTTTAACCCATTCCCTTTCTCTGCTCTGTCTCCTGCAGAATCTTTTCCATTACCTCACAGACATTCAGGGCAGTGGAGGAGTCCGCATCCCTGAAGCTCGAGGAGACGATGCCTGGAAGGTGTACTTTGATGAGACAGCCCAAGAAATTGTGGATGAATTTGCCATGCGTTATGGCATTGAGTCCATATATCAGGCCATGACGTGAGTCTCTGCTGCGGCACCGGGAAGTGGCTACTAATCACTGGGGTGGCTAATTAAGGCACACTGACATGGTGGGCAGGTCCTTAGTGAGGTAGCATGCAGTGATTCCTTTACTTTCCTCTCTGAGCTGGGTGAGATGGGTCTATGCCCCAAGACAAGAAGGGTATATGTAGAAAAAGAATGTTGTAACTCACAGAAAAGGTATTTCTGTCTGCCTCAGAGTTGAGGGAACTCTGCAGGGAAAGAGGCATGTGAGAGTATGCAAGGACAACCTGCCTAGACATCACAGGCCTGAGCAGACAGGGTATGTGTGCTCGTGTACATGTGTTTGTGACAACCGGTCTGGCCTAGACTGGCCTGGGGGTTCAAAGAGAACACTAAACTGCAGGGAAAGCAGCTGTGTATGGAGTTGACCAGGACTCCTTGAATGGGAATTCCAGATTGCTATGAGAAGCAGGGTAGCCTTTCTGTCAGTGAGGCTGCCCCTAGAGCTGTGTGCAGAAAGTAGCCCTAGGCAAGAGAGGGCAGCAATTGCCCTGGCTGTGCTTCATTTATCCCATAAACTTTTAGAGTTCCTGCTTGGCTTTTGCTGCAAGCCCTGAAGAGTCTTTGAGGCTGCGGGTGCTGTGTTTTTCAGGCACTTTGCATGTTTATCATCCAAGTACATGTGTCCTGGTGTGCCAGCAGTGATGAGCACCTTACTGGCCAACATCAACGCCTACTATGCCCACACAACTGCCTCTACCAATGTCTCTGCATCTGATCGCTTTGCAGCCTCCAACTTTGGGGTAAGTATCATGTAAACACATATGTCTGCATTTGTTACCAATTAATAAAGTTTGATTTTTTTTTTTTTTTTTTGAGACAGAGTCTCGCTCTGTTGCCCAGGCTGGAGTACAGTGGCGTGGTCTCGGCTCACTGCAACTTCTACCTCCTGGGTTCAAGCGATTCTCCTTTCTCAGCCTCCTGAGTAGCTGGGATTACAGGCACCCGCCACCACGCCCGGATAATTTTTGTGCTTTTAGTAGAGATGGGGGTTTTGCCATGTTGGCCAGGCTGGTCTGGAACTCCTGACCTCAGGTGATCCACTCACCTCGGCCTCCCAAAGGGCTGGGATTACAGGCTTGAGCCACCGTGCCCAGCCAAGTTTGATTTTTCTTGGCTGGTCCTATAGAGTTACTTGATGTGCTTAAAATTCAGATAGCTACCATTTTGATAGATGAATCTTGTTTCCTGTTTCCTTATGGGTATGCGGACTATACTAATAGCCTCTCCTCACACACAGATAAAGAAGAGAAGGTGGTTGGGGGTGGTACCACCTGGGCTTGGCCAGAACCCCTCTGGGCCAACAACTTGGTTGAATTACGATAGTCTTCCATATTCTTCAGTCTTGCAGGTCCACAAATGGATTTTTAAAAATCTTGTTCAGTCTGTCTGTGATGGATTCATATTACTTGAGTTGATATGAGACTGATGTCTAAGCAATGATGCCAGTGTGCACTTGAACCTGTTCCTTTTCTAGTGTCCAGACTGTTTTCCCTATCCAGGGTGTGCCCTTCCTGGGTTAAGGTACCTGAGAAGTTGAGTCATTACTCAGAATGTCACCTGACATTAATTCAGTATAAACTAGATAAAATAATTCTGACCCAACACAAAAATTACCATTTTGGGCATAAAGTTACTGATATCACCCCAATTCACTGAGTCTATGAAATCTGACTTTTTTGTACTAATGAATTTTTTGTTGTTGATAGAGCCTTTCTGTAGATGTGTAACTTATTAAGCCAGTCAAATATTTGTTCCATTTTGCCTCATCTCATTATGTATTGACTTAATCAACATCTACTCATATAATCAATATATGAGTTCTAGGAGTGGGATGCCAACATCCTGCAGGCATATGATTCCACGTTTAATTATACTTTTTCTATGAAAATCAGCTATTAAAATAGTATATGTTAGATATTTTAACATTTAAAAAGTATACACTATGGGAAATGTGTGTGGAATGTGGTTTAAAGAGAGACCCCTTCCTGCCTGTCCTGTTATCTTTCATATGCATCAGATTCTCCCTCCTATCATCACTGCTAGGCTGTGGCTGTATAACTGTTATGCACTACCCCGAGATAAGTCAGGAGACCTCAGACTCAAGAGAGAATGTGTTTGGAGTTTCTTCTTATCTAACTAAGATAAGTTACAGTCCCAAAGGTATAGAGATGCACTGGTCATGCCCTATTGACTCTCATATAGAAGGAGCCATTTCTCCCCCCAGGGACTTGGCTTTTTCCTTGTCAGTGTGAGATTTCCCAGATTGGGACAGAGCTGCAAAGAGATAGAACAGGGACTTTCTATCTCATTTTTTCCGTTACACTGTTTGTTGTTCTTCCCATGGGCAGGGATGTGTCTCCAACCCAATGCCTCCCGACTCTTTCTACTCATCCAGGGGTGGTTCTGTTTCTGTTATAGTTTAGGGGACTCAGACACAGGTTCTCTTTTTCTTCCCCTTTATTTGTTTCTCACCCTCAGAAAGAGAGATTTGTAAAACTGCTGGACCAGCTACACAACTCACTGAGGATCGACCTCTCTACATACAGGGTGAGTGAAGACACGGCTGTGGGCAGGATAATAGATATCAAGCACGGTCCCAGAGAGACTGTAGGCCAATCTTGGCTATAAAGATTGAGGCCAGGGAAAACTGGTCTGTGTCATCACATCCACCCAAATGGCCAATGCTACTGACACCTGTGGTTCTTTTAACTCCAGGGACCATGTGGTGTATAAATAGCAGCAGGTATGGTTAGTTTTTATAGACAGTTGTCTTTCCAACCTCATTCTTAACACTCTACTAAACTCTCTGGTGACATTCTCATTAGGGAGTTTCCTGAGGATAATCTCTTCCAGGAGTATCCTTTTAAAAAATTAGATACCTAATTACATTTCTTTTTTGCATTTTTCCATACTCTCCTCGTTTTCCAGCGGAGGTGTGAGAATCTGGCTAGGGGACAGAGAGTAGCTTGGCTTTTGCAAGTAATCTGTATCAGAGAGCATGTCCATTCCTAGTATAAAGGGAGGAAATAGGTATAGTAGGAGGATGGTTACTGGGACGGGACAGGATAAGGAAATGGGCAGTTTCTTAGTTCCTCCTATGTTAGATCTTAGAAATGGCTTCATTACTTGCTTTAAAGTGTGTGAATTTTCAGAACAGGCAATATATGCACATTAAAAAGTAAGTATAAAAACAACCTTAAAGTCAAAAAGAAATGAGGTTTTAATTGTCTGCACTCAAGTGCCCTCCATTTGCACAAATAATGGACAGCTGACTGTATATCTTATATTTGGCATATAAGTAGCCATTTGAAGGTTTAAAAACTGACCATTAATGTGAAGACAGGCTCAGCATCTCCCTTCAGCTCTTCATAGCAGCTCCCTCCTAAGACTCGTGCCAAAGTGAATGAAGTAAGGATGGCTGGAAATTCCTAAGGAACTCACTCCAAAAGCAGTTCTGCTCAGAGATCTGCCATCTGCTGGCTGCAGAACAGTAGAAGAGCTGGGTTCTATTGTACAAAAAGTACAGGTCCTGGACCTCAGTTTGGTCTGTAGTGTGGCTCCACTTATATTCCAGGATATACAGTTAGATTGTAATTTTCGAAGAACTCACTGTTGGTGTGTAAGAATCTTCATCCAAGAAAAAAGCATGTGTGTAAGTTTGTGTGTGCCTGTGTGTTCCTTTGTACAAGTGCTTATACATTGCATGGGAAGTAGGGCTGGAGGAGGATGTGTCACTTTCTAGGGTGGGGAGTATTAACCCCTGCTTTTGGCAAGAGCCTGTTTGCATCAATAGAAAAAAGAGAAGGAGACCTGTAACTTTACAGTGTTTTTGGCCAGCTCAACTAGAGAAAAACCCAGTAGGTAACAATTAGGGAAGCTTTTGATATCATCACTTTTGGCAGGGAAGGTTTTCATAGTCCTCTGTTCCTTTCTTACATTTGCTTGATTTGCAACAGAATAATTTCCCTGCTGGGAGTCCTGAACGGCTTCAGGACTTAAAATCCACAGTGGATTTGCTGACCAGCATTACTTTCTTCAGAATGAAGGTAAGAAATGGACTGGGGCTTGGGTGGTGCTGGGCTGGAGACCTGGCTACAGGAACGTGAAGAATGAGAATCATTGGGCAGAGTCTGAGGCTACAGGATTCATCACCTCTAAGCTTACATTTCTGTGTACCTGTTCCCTGGGTTACTTCTGAGAGAGCACATAGACTATGGATCCATGAGGATGGGGTGGAAGTTTTCCCTGTCAACTATCCTGGCAATTTCATCACAGGGAAAAGTCTAGGGACCCAGACAGGGATGAAAGAATCTAGAGTAGGTTTGGGGTAGTGCTAGGAGAATATCCCACCCAGGTGAGCAGGTCCTTGGGCCCATATTTCTTCTTTTAATTGGCAGGTACAAGAACTGCAAAGCCCTCCAAGAGCCAGCCAGGTGGTAAAGGATTGTGTGAAGGCCTGTTTGAACTCCACATATGAATATATCTTCAACAACTGCCACGACTTATACAGCCGCCAGTACCAGCTGGTAAGAGGTTCAGGATCAGGTGGGGCCAGCTGTCAGTGGCTCTTTGGAGCCTCAGTTTTCCTTCATGATGGTGGTGGAAAAGCACTCAGGACAAAGTACTTGATGTTCTCAAGGGTGAGTGAGTTGTGGAGTATGAACCATGTGGACCATGTGAGATATGTGGATGGAAAGAGACCCCTGGGCAAGATGAGACATACCTGAATTGAACAGAAATGGCAACAATAATGATGTTGAAGAAAGTAAACCTAAATTCATGCACAGTTCAGGGGTTGAGTAGGGGAATTCTCAGTCCATCCCAGAGTCTTTTTTTCTCCCTCAAGTTTAACTTTATTCTGACTCTTGCAGACTCTTGTAAGTTCTGGGCTTCCTTCCTCTGAGATCTGAAGTGGTCTCTGAGCTGCTGGCTCCTGGAAGCTTTACTTTTCCCTCTAATTACTTCTCTCTGAAATGTGTGGTTCTTCTGGGTTGTATTCATCCACTGGCTATCAAGACTGACCCTATCCTTCTGTGAGGCTGAGCTACTTCACCTGTTTTAGCCTGGCACCCTAAGTCAGTACCTGGTGACTTAGTACATTTTCCCAGATCCTTCTAATAGTGTCCCCGATCCATGCTCCCAACTTATTTGAAAGCCAGAACTTACTTCTAGCTCCAATTACTCAATTACAGTTCCAATCTTAGGAGTTTCTTGCTGACCATACATTTGCAGAGTGGATTCCCTTCAGTCCAACAAATATTGAATGTTTGTTCTAGGCCAGGTCTGAGGAGAGCACAGTGCTCCTTCAGTAAGTTTGCAGTCTCATAAACATATATATAACTCTAATCAAAAGAGTCTGTTTGAAGGGCCTTGAAAAAGGGATAAGATTAAAGGAATTCCAAGGAGGAAGAGTCTTTTCGCACTCTTGATCAGATACCAGGAAAAGCTACATAAAACAAGGAACATTTGAGATAGACCTTAAAAGGCAGTGGGATTTGGACAACCAATGATGGCAGGACAACCTAAATGTCTTGGACATTTATCTTTAAGTAACTACATCCAATTTGTAAAGCTTCCTAGGAACACCCTCATAAAGACTAAGATCTTGTTCCTACTGCCTCTTCTCATTCCCAAGTGTACTTTCTGTGCCAGCCATGTATTTAAGGCTTCTTCCTTTTAAGGTTTCTAAAGCCTCCTGTTGATTCTGAAATCCATGGGAGGTTTTCCTGAGGCCTTTGTTTTACTTGATACATTCTAGGCTCCTCTGTCATCTGTCTATGAAGTCTCTGGTTGAGGAAAGACACTGTTCTCATAAACTATTCAGGGATACTCTTTAGCCTTTGTATTTTAGTATCTGCTTTTTACTTTCTCTCAATTTCATTTTTTCCTTATTCCATATTTACACTGGCATAAACTCTTGATGTCTTTTAAAATTTCCATCTGTTGACCTTCAGTCATTGGTTTATTCGTCCATTCATTTACTTAACAGAGCATTAGAGACATAAAGTTGAGTAAGAGACATTTCAGCCTTTGGGGATCTCATGGTTTAGTGGAGGTCAGGGCAAATTACTACATTTATTGTTTTTTTGTTGTTGTTATTTTGTTGTTACTATGTTTTATTGTAGTTGTAGTTTTCTGATACATCTACACCAAAGGTTCACAGAGGGTGCTGTGGGAGCCCAGACCAAGGATGTCAGGAAAATCTCTCAGAAGAGGCAAAGTTCAATCTGAATTTTGAGGAAGGAGTAGGAATTAACTAAAGAAAGGGGCTGGAGGGAAGGGGCATACCACAGAGAGAATAGAATGCTTGGAGGCACAGAATTATGTATGAGCTTGTTAATTTAAAGAAATATAAGCAGGCCGGGCGCAATGGCTCAAGCCTGTAATCCTAACACTTTGGGAAGCCGGGGCGGGTGGATCACTTGAGGTCAGGAGTTTGAAACTAGCCTGGCCAATATGGTGAAACCCTGTCTCTACTAAAAATACAAAAATTAGGCAGGCATGATGGTGGGTGCTTGGAATCCCAGCTACTTGGGAAGTTGAGGCAGGAGAATTGCTTGAACCCAGGAGGCAGAGGTTGCAGTGAGCTGAGATCGTGCTGCTGCACTCCAGCCTGGGCGACAGAGTGAGACTCCGTCTCAAAAAAAAAGACAAAATAAAAATAAGATAAAGAAGTATAGCAATTTAGGGTACTTACGGCATCCAGCTGTGGGATTCAGCTATCTGGGATCAAATCTTAGTTCTGCTCTTTAAAACTGCATGACTTTGGACAAGTCATGTAACCTTGCTGCCCTTCACTCTCCTCATCTGTAAATGAAGGTGATAATAATTTCTACTAAATGGAGTTGTTGTGAGGATTAGATAGGATAATGTGTGTAAAGGTCTTAGCAGAGTGTGCGGCACATAATAAGCAGTAAATAAGTGGTGGTGGTGTGGTAATAGCTGGAACAAAAAGAGTTGTAAGGTATGAGGTTGAGAGTCATATTCTGGAAGGTGTAAACTAAGGAATTTAAACTGTATTGAACGCCGTTGAAGGGCTTTAAGCAGAGGAGTAACACATTGAGATTTTCTTTGTAGAAAGATCACGATAGCTGCAAGGAGGAGGGATTGGATTGAAGATCAAAGACCAGTTCAGAAATCCTTGAATGATAAGAGCCTGAGCCAGGACAGTGACAGAAAAATAAAAGGAAGAGATGTATTTAAGTTATATTAAAGATTCTGTCCTGGTTTCTAGGAACTTCTTGATAATGCAGGCTTATTAAGGACTGTGGAAGCTTTCCAGTGACATATGACATCCCACATAAAGGCCCTGTTCCTGTCCTTCTGGGCAGCTCCACCTTCACCTTTGACTTAGTGGGAGATAATGTGTGTTCCACCCTCCCTGTGGTGACTCCTACTTCACTTTTCTGGGCTGTGAATATAGAGTGATTTCTCTTTACCTGAAAGTCACCATTGTATTCCCTTGCCTCTTCCCAAGTAAGGCCCTATCTTATCTAGTTAGGCAGATAGCTTCCTAGATGCAGTTCTTCCCCCTAATAACTTCAGGGGATCAAGGGAAGTCCTACTCCACTGAAAGGCTGAAATGCGCACCAGATCTGTTCAGTAGCTCCTGCAGAAGTTGAAAGAGCTTCTCAGAGCTGAGATGTGTATGTGTGTGGTCGTGGTGTGCTGTCAGTAGAGGAATACCACCAGAAGAGGAGGGCTGCCTGCCTGTAGGGGCCGCATAGAAGTAGACCTATTTAGTAAGGCTGGAGGGGCTGTTTCCTTTAGCCAGCGAGTTACTCTGCCCATAGCAACTGAGAGAAGGAAGGAGGATGGGCATCCTTATGTCTCTTGGACTGACCAAGTTTATCAGAGAGAACTTCTCAGCGATAGGCTCCCTGTGTTCAGGGATCTCACAATAGTCACTCTTACAGAACAGGGATAGTCTTGTGGAAGACAGGCTCTAGGAGAGGAAAGGTCCTTGATTCTAGAGGAAGAGGTATAGGAAGGGGAAGAGAAAGAGGATCGTTGGAGACACCCTCTACATTCTACTCTGACTCTTTCTCCCTCTCTCTCACTGTGTCCTCTGGATCAAGAAGCAGGAGCTACCTCCAGAGGAACAAGGGCCCAGCATTCGGAACCTGGATTTCTGGCCCAAGCTCATCACACTCATCGTGTCAATCATAGAGGAAGATAAGAATTCCTACACACCTGTTCTGAACCAGTGAGTATCACCCTCTTTGGCCCTGTCTGTTGGTGGTTGGTCTGTCCATCTGTCTAACAACCTCTTTCTTTCCTGTCTCTGTATGTTTGCAGTGCCACCTCTTCTTCCTGTCCATCCATCTGTCCCTCTGTCCCTTGTATCTGTCTGGGTAACTGTTTCTGGAGACAGGTGTGGAAACATAATGGGGGTCCCTGGCCAGATTGAGCCAGCTTCCCTGGAGTGAGAGACTTCTGGGACTGGGACTGCCATAGGAGCCCCAGGGGATCCAGAGACCATGTGTGTATGTGTCTGTCCACTGTGAATGAAGTGGGCCTTCTTATAGCCCACCCCCACTTGCCCTTTCTCCTCCAGCTTATTTAGCCTGCGCCTGCTTTCCAGCCTCTGCCTGGAGAGTCTCTACCTCTCAATTCCCTGCCTTCTGGGCATCTTCTGCCCCCAGGCCCATCTTGCCTATGGGGATCCCTTCTGCCCTCACTTGTCCTGCCACTGGCCCCTGGCCCCTGGGCCCCTTTTCTCCAGATTGGACCTAGCCCTGTTCCCTAAGCATCTCCTCTCTCCAATATGACTTCCAAGAACTAGGCACTTTAGCCTTGAAATGAATCAAATCAAATGGCTCTTGCCTTATTCTCTGACTGTGGTTTCTTCTGTCATCCAGGTTTCCTCAGGAGTTGAATGTGGGAAAAGTCAGCGCAGAAGTGATGTGGCATTTGTTTGCCCAAGACATGAAATATGCATTGGAGGGTAAGGATCTGTTCAAATCAGTGGGCTGCCAGGCTCCTAGCCCAAGCTCCTCGTTCACTGTCCCTTTCCTCTTCTAGACAACTACAAGTTCTGGGTGAGTGGTATAGTGAGAAACTAAAGGAATTCTAGGCCTAGTGGGATGTAGGCCCCGGGAGACCTTGGGTGGGCAAAGTTGCAGCCAAAGGACATATGAAAATGGCTGTGTGGATGTAGCTTCCTCCTTCCAGCTTTGGAGCAACTGCCTGTTCAAGACCTTCCCAGCCCAGAGATGAAATTCTCCCATGGTGGGTGTTCTTAGGTGGCCCACTTCCTGGAGAATGGTCTTGGGAAACTTCAGTTTTAAAGAATCAGAGAACCTTAAATACACAGATAGATGTAATTGTTTTCTTATGTTGGGGACTCTCTGGCCTGGCTTTTCTTGCAAGCTGCTCTGGATTAGTATGACAATGCCAGGAAGATACTTCTTCCCTCACTTCTCCTATAGAGCAGGGCCACAGGCAAATTATTATTCATCTTACTCATTCAGCTTGTTCTTTTATTCATTTCCTACCTTGGTCCACAAAGATATCATTCCATACCTGTATTAGACCTTCCTATCTGTACCCATCTGTACTCACCTATTTAGCAGCGTTTCCTGCCATTTTATGTGTGGTAGTCTCTCTACTCAGTCTGTGAAAGCCCATCTAGGAGGAGGAGGAGCCATCTGGGCAAGGACAAAGCAGAGTCTGGATCTGTTATTTGGGTGGGATGGCAGGGCAGATGAGCCACCCTCAGATGCTTGAATGTGTGAGGTTTAGAATCAGTGAGTCTTGAGATTGAAAGAAACCTTGAAGATCTGTGTTACATTTGAGCCAGCCACAGACTACACGCATACATTCTGTAACACAAGCCCAGAGCAGGGCTGCCTGCTGTCAGGCCAGGGAGGAGGTCATTGGTCTCTCCCTCCAGATGCCACTTAGTGAGCCTGATGGGGAGTACAGTCTCAGTTCTTGAAGAACTCTGGCTCCAGTGGGTTTGGGGGAAAAGAGAAAACACCTGTGAAAAGTGAATCAACTCCACAAGAGAAGTAGTGTGAGGTGGGGCAGAGGTTTTCAAACAGAAGTATCTTAGGAGCTAAGTTGAAGGGGAAACCCAGAGGCTAGGCTCCAGGCCTCTTGCATGATGACAGCTCAGCCAGCCCTGCATTTATCAATCTTACATGGAATTCTAGCTGAGATTTCTTTTGAAAGGGGAGTTCTGCTAATGTTTAAAACAAACACAAAAGGATTGAAAACTTCTACTTTAAGAGAAAGAATTAATGTTGGCCTGATTTCATACCTCAATTTCACCGCCTATGTAGCACTGTGAATTTGGTCCAAACTACTTAATTTTTATGAGCTCCCATTTTCTCATCTGTAAAATGGGAGTGATGATAGCATCTGTTTCTTTGAACTGATGAAGTACTGAGATGTATTTAGCATACTGCCTGGCACTTACTCAGCACTGACTAAATCTTAGTTCTTAAGAACAATAAGAAACCATTGCAGGCTCTTGAGCAGAGATGCAATGTGAAGCCAGCAGTATTTTAATAAGATCTACCTCAGTGGGAGATGAGGGCAGCTAGAATAGGGA
Source organism: Homo sapiens (assembly GCF_000001405.40). Taxonomy (NCBI): domain Eukaryota; kingdom Metazoa; phylum Chordata; class Mammalia; order Primates; family Hominidae; genus Homo; species Homo sapiens. The sequence continues at coordinate 35,392,326 of NC_000009.12, forward strand.
GAGACTAGAATCAGAGAACGCAGATAATGAAGAGCTGTTGTAATAATTTAGGGATAGAGGGTGCTGGGATTAGAGAAGGGAAGTGGAGAGAGGAGAATGGGCTTTGATAGACATTGGAAGGAAGCCAGAACAGGACTTCGTGATTGTCAGAATATGGAGGGCAAGAGAAGGGGAGGAGTTTTGGGGGCCTGGATGATAGGAGAGTGGCATTGACTCTGACTAAACCAAACACCGCATATTCTCACTCATAGGTGGGAATTGAGCAATGAGAACACATGGACACAGGAAGGGGAACATCACACTCTGGGGACTGTGGTGGGGTAGGGGGAGGGGGGAGGGATAGCATTGGGAGATATACCTAATGCTAGATGACAAGTTAGTGGGTGCAGTGCACCAGCATGGCACATGTATACATATGTAACTAACCTGCACATTGTGCACATGTACCCTAAAACTTAAAGTATAATAAAAAATAAAATAAAATAAAGAAAAGGGTGAAACATTAAAAAAAAGAAAAGAAAAGAAAATGCTGTCCGTCACCAAATATTTTGTAAGTCAACATTATTAAGGTATCATTTATAGACAATACAATAAGACCACTTTAAGAATACAATTTAATGAGTTTTGACAAATAAGCCCAACTGTGTAACAACTCTCCCAATTAAAATATGAAACAAAAGTTCCTTCTTGCCACTTTGCAGTAAATCCCCACTCCATTCACCAAATGTTTATTGAATATTTTCTCTGTGCCTGGCTCTGTGCTGGTTATTGGAACCCAATGAGATGAACAAGGCATAGCACCATCCCTTAAGAAACTCACAGAGCAGTCTAGAAAACAGTCGTATAAATTGGTAGTTACAACACAAAGTTATAATGCCACAAGAGGAGTAAGTATAGGGTGCTGAGAGCACACAGGAGAACCATGTAACCCAGATTCTGAGGACCTGGGAAGGCTTCCTGGAGGAGGTGATGTACAAGCCGAAACCTGAAGGGTAATAAGATTTAGCCAGGAGGGTGGTAGTGACAAGAAAGGGAGACACAGAACATTTCAAGCAGAGGCTACAGCATGTCCAAGACCTGGGGTCTAGAGAGAGCTGGCATGCTTGGAGAACTGGAAGCAGCAGTTCAGTGTGACTAGCACTTCAGAGGGTAGGGGAAGAGATAAGTAAGACCTGAAGATGGAGAGGTGTGACGGAGTCAGATCGTGAAGGAGGTTGTAAGCCATGCATAGGCTTTTGGACTCTCTCTCTTTTTTTTTTTTTTTTTTTTTGAGTCTCTCTGTGTCACCCAGGCTGGAGTGCAGTGGGCTGATTTTGGCTCACTGCAACCTCCGCCTCCTGGATTCAAGCGATTCTCATGCCTCAGCCACCCGAGTAGCTGGGATTACAAGCGTGTGCCACCACACCCAGCTAATTTTTGTATTTTTAGTAGAGACGGGGTTTCACCATGTTGGCCAGTCTGGTCTTGAACCCTAGCCTCAAGTGATCCACCCCCCTCAGCCTCCCAAAGTGCTGGGATTACAGGTGTGAGCCAATGCATCCAGCTGACTTTTGGACTCTATCTTGAGGTAGCTGGGAGCCACTGACATATGTCAAGCAAGGGATTGACATGATCAGATTATTATGTAGAAAGGCCAGTCGCTCTGTCTACAGTGTGGAGAGTGGATTGGGAGGCAGAATGACCAGTCTGGAGGCTATTATAGTAATCCAGGTTACAGATGGGGGTAATGAGACCTAGGCAGGTAATAGCGTGGCTAGAAGGAATGGATAGATTCCAGAGACATTTGGAGGTGAAATCAGGGGCTGGCGATTTAACTGGGTATGAATAAAGAGGTAGAAAGAAGATTTGAGGATGATGCTCAGCATTGAACAAGAGGGTAAGATTAGTTGGTGTACTCTGTTCCACTTCAGCTGGAGATTTTAAGATAGTGAGAGACAGGGGCAAGTTAAATCTAGGCATGATGAAATGTTCCATCCGAAGCTTATATAGGCCAGGCATGGGGGCTCACGCCTGTAATCCCAGCACTTTATGGGCCTGAGGCGGGTGGATCACCTGAGTTCAGGAGTTCATGACCAGCCTGGCCAACATGGTGAAACCCCAACTCTACTAAAAATACAAACATTAGCCAGGTGTGCTGGCACATGTCTGTAATCCCAGCTACTCAGGAGCCTGAGGCAGGAGAATTGCTTGAACCCAGGAGGCAGAGGTTGCAGTGAGCAGAGATAGCACCACTGCACTCCACCCTGGGTGACAGAGCGAGACTCCATCTCAAAAAAAATAAGAAGTTTATATAGACGTTACCAGAACCAAAGAGAGATTAGGGGGAGATACCAGCAAACTGGGTAGTTGAAATCATGAGGTTGGAAGAGCTCTCCAGGAGGAAAGGAGGGAGTTAGGTGGAAGTCAGGGGCAGGAGGTTATGGATTGGCCTTTCTGACAGATTACCCCACCTCAAACAACTTTACTGGAGCATGACTCCATGGGACTTGTTAGAATAGTTTAAAGTGTGACCGGTGTTTCAGAACTTGTCAGTTAGTTTTTATACCAGAGAAGTTAATACAGAAATTAGGGATAGGGGCCAGAGTGCAGATAATAAATTGACAGAGAAAGTGAAAATTATATGTAGAAACAGTAACTTGAAGGTCCCTAAAAGAAAGAGTTAGGGAGTTATGGAGTGATGGGCAGTCCTGCTTGAAAAGGAAGGAGGAGGGCCCTCCTGATGTTTCTAGGTTCTTAGACTGGTTCCAGAACAGCAGGGGATGGGGGTGGAGGAGAGGGGCTCTCTTTTGATGTCCCTGAGGGTCTCTCTGATGTCCCTGATTTTTTCACTCTCTTTGTTGCTCATTGGTGTCTGCTCTGTCACAAGCAACCACTGTCATTCATATACGAAAAGTCCTCTTTCTGGGTGGTAAGAACATTTAGTTGTCCTTTTGCCTCTAGTCTTACACCTTTTCCCTCTTCTCCTGCTCACTGCTTCATAGAAGAGACTGCAAATGCAACTTTAGGTTGAGACAGTGCTGCCTGCAGTGCCAGGGAATGAAATTCCTGGGACTTGAAGCCCTTTGAGGCAGAATCCCGGGCTTCCATTTCCTCCTTCAGTGTCTGCTACACTAGTTCACAAGGGCCAGCTGCCCCAGCCTGGATGTTCCGCCTTGACTTGGAGGAGCATCACCCATGGCAACTCAAAGTTGAGCAACAAAGTCCCCAAGGACAGTGGCCTTCTCTTCTCTGCTGCTTAGTCCTCTCCCACATTTGCTTGCTTTTACCATTATGTTGATGTGTCAGCATACAATTGATTTTTATTATTCAAATTAGTGCTTCAACTATGAAGCGGGTAGATGAAGAGAACCTATGGGTGTGGCCAGTGCTCCAGACTCTGAGCAAATTGTGAGTTATCTTTGTCTTAGATTTTCCAGAAGGCTCTGGAGATTCAGCAAGATGACTTTTCAAATTCGTAGTAAGTGCCCCATTTTCTGCAGCATGATATGTCCTTTCATCTGGCTGTGTTTCCATAGTTTCCAAACTGACTATTCATATTTGCATACTTCCCTGAGAATTCATTTTTTCAATGTCTCAGCTCTGCCCTGGAGCCCTTCAGTTTGCCTCAAGATTCCATTACACCATGGCTGCCCAACTGCTCTGTCAACTTGGGCCCAGTTTGATTTTCCCTGTCTCTGTAGTTGTCACTGACCCATTCATGCCATGTACACCTGCTCATCTCTGCCTTTAAGCCTGTCTGAAGGATGACTCAGCTACTGTGATCAGAAAGGCCCTGGAAAACCATTGTCCTCTACAGTCATGGGCAGTCTCCCTACTAATCAGCATCAGCACCCATGGCCCTTTCTCCTCTTCTACACCAGAGGCCAGATGCTAGAACAAAAAGACCACTTCCAAACGCTAGAGCAAAAAGACTGCAGGCTTTATCTGGGAGTCTGGCTTAGTCTTTCTAGAGGAAGATTTGGGCCAAGCTTGTGGAGAGTTGCTGAGCAGAACACTGTTGGGGAGAGATGGCTGTGAGAAGGAGGTTGGGAGTCACCCTTGTCCTAAGACATCTGATGGAGCTGCCTGACCAGATCTGCTGCCTTGGGAAGGCTCAGGAACCATGGCCTCTACTGCTGGGACCTGACCCAACCTTTCTCCCTACCACTAGAGCATGAGAAAGACCACCTGTGTAAAAGTGCTGACTACATGAACCTGCACTTCAAGGTGAAGTGGCTCCACAATGAATACGTGCGGGATCTGCCTGTCCTCCAGGGGCAGGTGCCTGAGTACCCAGCGTGAGTCATCATGTGGGCACTACAGAGGGAAGGGAGCCCTCTGGGTGGGCAGGGCTAGTATCCCCAATTCATTTCAGCAAGCCAGTCTCGGGGACTGCCTGTTCAGGTACCACCGTAGACAAAGAAAAGTGTTAAACTGTGCCCTGCCATCCCGAGGACCCCAGTCTGGTGGAGCTGTCAGGAAGTGGCGTATTCCCACCGCTAGTTCTAAGCCCCTGTTCTCCTGCTGTGGCTGCAGGTGGTTTGAGCAGTTCGTGCTACAATGGCTGGATGAGAATGAGGATGTATCCCTGGAATTCCTGCGTGGGGCCCTGGAACGAGATAAGAAGGATGGAGTAAGTCAGGGGCTTTGGCTGCACCGGGTTCAGGCCAGGTCTCCCAGCAATTAGCTATTGGCAGAAGTTCCTGGGCTTTGGCCAGGATGGCTATGCCTGCCCTGTGGAGTTCACAGGAGGGCTGTTGAGGGCCATTAGCCACTCTTGCTGGTCAGAGCCTTTTCAAACTCTACAAGCTTGGGAAAAGATAGCAGCTGTGGATGGTGACCCTGTGTGTGGTCTTCCTTAGTTCCAGCAGACATCAGAGCATGCACTCTTTTCCTGCTCTGTGGTGGATGTCTTCACACAACTCAATCAGAGCTTTGAGATCATCCGGAAGCTGGAATGCCCAGACCCCAGCATCCTTGCCCACTACATGAGGAGGTTTGCTAAGGTGACCATAACTCTTCCTACTCCCTCCCCCTTACCACCACCACACTCACAGTCTCATCACAGGCCTGAGCTCAGCACCTCTCCACTGTGGCCTCCTGGTAAAGCTCGTGTGACCCCCATTCTCCTTTGCTGGTTTCTGGGGCAGACAGATGGTTCTGTCTTAGTGCTGTTCTGTGGTTGAGAGAGAGCTTTCTCCTGTACTGTGGGATTCCCCCTTTACCTCCCTGTTGTTATTGTTCTGTGATGAGAAGTGCCACCTCAGGCAAGATCCCCATAGAAGAGCTAAGAGTTCCCTTTCCTTTTCTTTCCTTTCTCCTCTTCTCAGACCATCGGGAAGGTGCTGATGCAGTATGCAGACATCTTGTCAAAGGACTTCCCAGCCTATTGCACAAAGGAGAAACTGGTAGGTTCAGGCCCTGGGACTCTTACAGAAAGAGAGTGGAAGACATTTGAATCCTTGCTTTTGAAGCTGTCCTCAGAATTGAGGGTTGGGGTGACACTCCTGATGCCTGATTCCCACCATGGCTTTGCTTCAGATCCATGCCACAAAATTACGAGAACTTGACAGAGTTCCTGTGAGTCTCATTTGGTACATTATCCTCTGCTAAGCTAGACCTTTGCTTAGTCTTTTTTTTAATATATATATAAAAACTTTAGATATTCAGAAAGTTATAAAGGATAATACATTAATACTTGAGTACCTACCACCCAGCTTAAAAATGAAAACATTTGCTTTTAGTCAAGGAGAATTATCTGAACTGGCCCCAGCTCTTAGTGCTGAGGGAGAAACCTATGTCATATGTGAAGTCCCTGTGGCTTTTGTGAGAGAGGGAGGGAACCTAGGCTAATGGGTCCTATGCTGAAAGGAGCCAAGACTCAACAGCTACATCTGTCCCCAAAGCCCTGCATCCTGATGAACAACGTGCAGCAACTGAGGGTCCAGCTGGAGAAAATGTTTGAGGCCATGGGAGGCAAGGAGGTAGGTCTTAGGGTTTGGGAGTCACTGTATTTTCCCTTTATTCCTGAGCTCCTTGGCCATAGAACTCCACCCTCTCTTAACTAGGTGTAGGCCAGGAATTTAGCTTGGGGTCTGGGCTGGCTTAATCTGAGGTAGGCATTCGGGTAAGGCCCTGCGAGGGAGGAATAGGCACTGGGGTAAGCCCTGCAAGGAAGTAGTAGGGGTGTGGCAGGGTAGAAGAGGGTAAGAAAAGCAGCCTAGCCAGGCTTACCTCCTGTGAATACAGCTGGACCTTGAAGCTGCAGACAGTCTGAAGGAGCTGCAGGTGAAACTGAATACGGTTCTGGATGAGCTCAGCATGGTGTTTGGAAACAGGTCAGTGACCCCACAATACAAGGCCCTCAGAGCCAGATGTGGTCCCTAGCCAATCCCAGAGCCCTTGCCCCACACCTCTCCATATAGCTGCAGGTGTGTGGATCTTCCCTGTACTCCTGCTGACTGTCCCTGCTGGAAATGCACCATGAGCATATGGGAATGGGACCAAATAGCTGGTGCCGCTCCAGGGACAGTGTGTGTTTGGGGAGGGAAAGGCTACACTGCGGGCACATGTGTAGTTTCCAGGTACGGATTGATGAGTGTGTTCGACAAATGGCCGACATCCTGGGCCAGGTTCGGGGCACAGGGAATGCATCTCCAGACGCCAGGGCCTCAGCGGCTCAGGATGCAGATAGCGTACTCCGGCCTCTCATGGACTTCCTGGATGGCAAGTGAGTACAGCATTCAGGACTATCCTGTGGGGATGAGCAAAGCAGATGCTATCGGGCAAGGGAGCCCCTTGGGGAGAGGGGTTCTCAAACTCTCACCCTGGTCTCACCTGTTGCCTGGACTTGCAGCCTCACCCTCTTTGCCACTGTGTGTGAGAAGACGGTTCTGAAGCGTGTACTGAAGGAGCTCTGGCGCGTGGTGATGAACACAATGGAGAGGATGATTGTTCTGCCCCCACTCACTGACCAGACGGTAAGGACACCTCCTTCCACTTCCTCCTGCTGTCTCCCTTCCCCTCACTCCCTGCTTCCTGATGGAGTTGGGGTCCTCTGCTTTTGACTGATTCCCTCTCTGCCCAGGGCACCCAGCTGATCTTCACTGCTGCCAAGGAGCTGAGCCATCTTTCCAAACTCAAGGTACTCTGGGTGTGGGGTCCTCCTGGCAGGTGTGGTCCTTCTGAAGTCATGGAGAGAGGGTGGCTGCGGGGAAGGAAATTGGAGCTTTGGAGACTGAAGAGGAAAAGGAGGAGATGAATATGCACTGGGGGCTGGCAGGTGGGTGCAAGACTTTCATGACTGCTGTGAGCTGTCCTGATGCTGCTGATTTCTCTGAACAGGATCACATGGTACGAGAGGAAACACGGAATCTCACTCCAAAGCAGTGTGCAGTCCTTGACCTCGCCCTGGACACCATCAAGGTGGAGGCCCCCCCTTTTTCAGACAGTCTTAACCACCACACTCACTTGGCCCTGGCATTCCACTCTCCCAGACCAGGTGTCCCTCCAATTCTTAACACTCCACATCCAGAAGAGAGTTACTATGTACTGCCAAGGATACAGAATCAGATATGGTTCCTAAATTCAAGATGCTTATCATTGGTAAGGTGATATAAGGCAGGAACATATGAACTGTGCTTCAAGGCACCTGGGAGAGGTATGTCATAGGTCTCAAGTTCTCTAAGGTTCAGATGGGTAAAAGAGCACTTTTGGTTCTTCTCCGTGCCTGAAGTGTTTCTATTCCATTTCTGTGCCTGTCCAGAAAGACCCATCCTTCAAACACTGCCGTACCTCCAGGAATGTGGCCATCCCCTACTAATCCTGCCAAATACCCAAATAATACTCATCCAAGAGCCTATGCTCTGGTTCTGTGGGTGTTCCTGAACAGCCTATTCTCACAGTCCTCTTCTTGCTTCTCTGAGGACAATGTTGGGGAGCTGCTTTCTGTAAGGGGATGAAGCAGTCACGGGTGCTCTTTTATCTTGCAGCAATACTTCCATGCAGGAGGCAATGGGCTGAAGAAAACCTTCCTGGAGAAGAGCCCAGATCTGCAGTCTCTACGCTATGCCCTGTCTCTGTACACACAGACTACTGACACTCTCATCAAGACCTTTGTGCGCTCGCAGACCACCCAAGGTAAGGCCCTGAGGGCTTTGGGTATCCACCTCTCCTCTCTGATACACATCTTCCCCTAGGGAGTCTGTATCTTCATGCCCTTGGGAGCAGATCCAGTTACTTCTTCAGAGAGCCCTTCAAATTCAGATCTCTATTGCTTGATGGGACCTCAGTACTTACCTCCACCCCATACCCATTACCAGGCAGGAGAATCACAGAGGCCTGGGAAATATGTCTAAGATTTCTTTTCCCAGACATTGCCTGGCCCATGCATGTTTATTAAACTCAAGGAATATACCCTGACTGGTAAGCGGCAAGAATGAAAAATCTGTGAGGAAGCCTTGAGAATGAATGGAAGCCATGAGAAATGTGAAGGCTCATAGTGTGTGGAGCTTTGCTGGGAGTTGTTCTGGGGAGAGAAGGCAAAAGACTTTCCAGACTCTGCAGCATGGATAGGGAGACAAGGAAGAGAGGCAAACCATGGCAGCTGCTGAAGGGAGGGTGTGGATCCTGGGGCCCTGTGCACAGCTGAGGCTCCAGTCTCAGGGGTGCTGTTTATGCACAGGGGACCCAGGAAGCCGGTTTTCTCCCAGTGACTTTCAGTCCTCAGAACCCCTCCCTACCTCCAGCATGGCCTGTCCAAAACAAAACACATCTGCATAGATGTAGCTCAGGTTGAAATTCTGACGCTGGAGCAGAGCCCTCCCAGGAGGCACCTCAGGCACATTTGTTACTGCTTGTTCCAAGGAAACCTGAGCAGGCTGCCTGGGGGAGTGAACCTGGTGGGGGAAGTTGGCGCTTAGGCATTACTGAGCTGTGTGTGAATCTGGGGCACAGGGCTGACCTAGAGGGGAGAGGGCTCTAAGCAGGTAGACTGGTGATGGAAAGTAAGAAAATGGAAGGGACCGAAAGTACTGCTCTATTCCCCATCTGTTCTCATTTCCAATCCAGGGAGGGAAGAATAGAGAGCAAAAGAAGAGCTGTGAGTCTCACTTAAGTGGACAGGTAGAACTTTTACAGAGCTGGGTACATGTTCAGGCATACACCATCAAGGAAGATCTGAGTTAATCCAGAAAGGCTTTTTAGAAGCATTGAGCTTTAAGCTTGATAAAAGATGAGGAGAGCCTGGAATGAGCACACATATGATGAGAGCAGGGTTGGCAACTGCGGGAAGAATCCATGTGTATGCGTGTGCATTTTCTACCCGTTGCTTTATCATTTAAGGGTCTAGGAAATTAAAGCCTACAGCCTGTCTCTTGTCCTGCTTGTCTCAGATACCTCCTCTCTGTATTTTTCTACTGTTTCTGCCCATGATTTGGTTGGTCTCTGACCCATGAAGTCTAATTTGGAGCATTCACACACTGACTGCAGCTCTTTCACTTCTTTCTCCACTCTGCCCCACCTCTGTGCTCCCTCAGAATATGTGTAGAGCTGCTTTGAATGGCTGTTAACTCCTTAGACTGCTAACGGATTCTTCTTTCTCTGTTCTGCTGCTGCTACTACCTCTGACTTGCCTGTCCTCATTCAGTGCATGATGGGAAAGGTATTAGATTTACTGCTAATGAGGACATTCGTCCGGAAAAGGGTATGTTGTACACCGTGCAGATATGGATCTAACATGGGCTAACACTGACCCCTGGGAGCTAGAATGAGCAACTCGTGCTGGGGGTGGGGGAACAAGCTGTCAAGGTTTAGGAGCTCTATCTCAAGTCTTAGAGATGGGTAATGCCTTCATATAGCCCAGGAAGGGGTTCTGTTGTTGATCTCTGTCGTATTCTCAGCATTCTCCCACCCCTCCACCTCAGGACAAAGAAGGATTTTCTCTGGGGTGTAAGATTGTGGTGGTGTTTTCTTTTTTTCTTTTTTTTTTTTTTTTTGAGACGGAGTCTCGCTCTGTCGCCCAGGCTGGAGTCCAGTGGAGCGATCTCTGCCCACTGCAAGCTCCGCCTCCCAGGTTCACACCATTGTTCTGCCTCAGCCTCCCTAGTAGCTGGGACTACAGGCGCCTGCCACCACTGCCAGCTAATTTTTTTGTATTTTTAGTAGAGACGGGGTTTCACCATGTTAGCCAGGATGGTCTCAATCTCCTGACCTCGTGATCCCCCCACCTCAGCCTCCCAAAGTCCTGGGATTACAGGTGTGAGCCACTGCACCTGGCCAGGTGTTTTCTTAAAATAGGGTGGGGTCTCTGCTAAGGGGAGCCTGTAGATTGGCTCTTTTCAGAGATTGGAACTGGGGAGTTCATTCTATAGAGGGGCCCAGGTTTGAGGGGGATGAAGTATTTCAGAGCACAGCAGCCTCCCAAGCAGGGACCTCTAGGAATCCTGGGCATAGGTGGGAGGTTGCTGCTTTTGGCTAGAGAGGACCCACATTTTTCCATTAAGAGACACTACCAGGTCAACATAATTCCCAGACACAGATACAAGGTGATGGCACTGCCCTACCCCAACGTCTTTCAGTTAAAAGTCCTTCAGCCTAGGAGATAAGAGTTTTGGGGATCCTTGAGAGAGAGTCTTAGTGCACTTTTGGAAAATGTTGCGCCTAAGATGCTGTCAGCTTAACTTGTGTTACAAGACACAGCCTTGTTCTTTATCCCATTTCTTTCCCTTCTCCTATTGCTTACTTCCCATGGTTACTGTGGTGATTGCTTCTTGCTTTTGGGTATAGGGTGGTGACCTCCTCACCCCTCAGGTTTACCTCCTACAGTTCTCCAATGGGGAATCATCTCTCCATTTGTCCCTCAGGGTCTGGTGTGGACGATCCTGTGGGAGAAGTCTCTATTCAGGTGGACTTGTTTACACACCCTGGTACTGGGGAGCACAAGGTCACAGTGAAAGGTGAGTGATGGACTTACAGGTCTGCCCTTTCCTTGCCCAGTGGCCTCACTCATCACTCAAAAGCAGGGGCTGCTCATCCCAGCCCTCCAGCTCAGCCCTCCTCCAAGGGGAAGGTCACCTGGGGTTCAAGAACTGGGAAATCCTGGTGGGATCCCTCACAGGTTTCCCTTGTTTGGGCAGTGGTGGCTGCCAATGACCTCAAGTGGCAGACAGCGGGTATGTTCCGGCCTTTCGTGGAGGTGACTATGGTTGGCCCACACCAAAGTGATAAGAAGAGGAAGTTCACAACCAAATCCAAAAGCAACAACTGGGCCCCCAAGTACAATGAGACATTCCACTTGTAAGTTACGGGGGGGACATACAGGACTCTGGGATGGGGGTAAGACTTGAGGGGTGGGGGGAGAGGAGGGCCCGGGGGGATGGCAGACTGGGGTGAAATCAGCTGAAGACTCAACTCTGGCCTCATAACTTCTATCTTGTGCTCACAGCCTCCTGGGAAATGAGGAGGGGCCCGAGTCCTATGAGTTGCAGATATGCGTGAAGGATTACTGCTTTGCCCGGGAAGATCGCGTGCTAGGGCTGGCTGTGATGCCTCTGAGGGATGTCACAGCCAAGGGCAGCTGTGCCTGCTGGTGCCCCTTGGGCCGGAAGATCCATATGGATGAGACAGGCCTGACCATTCTCCGGATTTTATCTCAGAGGAGCAATGACGAGGTGGCCCGAGAATTTGTGAAACTCAAATCAGAGTCTCGTTCCACGGAGGAGGGGAGCTGAACACCTTCGACTCCTGTGCCAATCAGGCAGCAGCAATTTCACAAATCAGGGCCAGTGGGAGTTAGCTGTGTAACCGGCTTAGGGTCTTTGCAGTCAAGAGGCTGACCCCTTCAGTTAAAGATATTTAAGGAAAAATTTGGGGTGGTGATAATATGGCTTTTCACAGAAAGGGTCATGAAGCCCTGGCCCAACAGGACTGTGGTACTAGGGGCTGGGATGTGGGGTTACCACATGGAGAGATTTTCCATTAAGAGAGAAGGACAAACATTTCTGAGAGTGTCAGCCATTCTTGGTAGACACCTCTCCACTCCTCATCCCACCTCTACCCATCTCCATGCCACACCTTATCCAGTTAGACACATACATACCAATCATTAGAAGAACAAGTTTAGAAGGTGTGGAACTTGTGCCTGGCTGGCTGGGTAGTCAGCTGAGCCTGTTGCTGAGCCCGGTGGTCTGGATTGGAGTATGGCCAGGGCAGGAGTACACAGAATAGAATTTAGACTGTCCCTTGAGTAGAATCCACTGATTTTCTGTGGCTCCAGTGAGAACAAGGCTTTGAAACTGAACAAGATAACTTCTAGAAATGAACTGTACTAATCCCTTTCCCCAGATTGTATCATGAGTAGAATCAGGTTCACGTGGTGCTTCAAAGCCCTGAGAAGAATATTTCTTTGGACCCCAGGCACTAGGGGCCACCTGCCTGGGAGTCTCCCTGCCTCACTCCTCTAGGCAGGGGAGTGATGCTTCAGGACGTGACAGGCTGTTCTAACATGTGTCTACCTGAGGGCTAGTTGAAGGATCCAGGAGTATTTTCTTCTTGGGTGGGCCCTGAACAAAGCCAAAAATTGTAGAAACCAGTCTAGAAAAAGTCCTGCTCATCTGTGGCCACTGCCTTCTAGCCGTCCTCCACCTTGCAGAAAGAATCTAGCCTTTGGTCTCTCTCTCTCTCATCGGGGTCATTTGCTATTCCCCTCTGATATTCAACCCTATAGAAGGAGCCTGGACTCTGATCCCTCTGTACAGGCTGGATGGAAGGGGCCCTCCACACTTCCTGGGAGGTCAGAGACAAACTGTTTCAGAGAGTCAGATGGACTTCCCAAGACTTGTTGAGAGATGTGACATGGTTCTTGGATTTCCTCTGTAGCAGCCTCCTGGACTTCCTGAGGACTCGACATTGTCCACAGATGTACTGGCCATTACATGAAACAAGAAACCAAGCATCTTTGCTGTTGTTAATTATTATATGTGCCATTGTTACAGGAGATTATAGGCTAGTCTGTAATAAATTATCTTATAGCAGCCTTTGGGGTTTGGTAATTCTGCTAATGTGTGGAAAGCCATGGAAATGACTGTCCTTTATAATGGTAGATTTTGGCCTAATGGTCCTTTGCTGCTTCACACTCCTCCACCCCCATACCTGACAGCCAGTGGGTGAAGCCTAAAGTGGTTCTGGATAAACACCACTGGGCTAACATCCTGTCCTAGACCTGAGACCACCAATCTAATTAACAGAGTCATGGGACCTACGGCACCAGCTTCCTACAAAAGGTCCAAAAGAGTAGCAGGAGAGGTATTCTGGTGAAAACTAGTCCATGCTTCTCTTCCCTTTGTCTAGAATCACTAGGACAGATCACAGCCTGGGTTGTGAGGACAAGGCAGGGGCCCACTGGGGAGAGGTGTGCCTGCCCGTCTTGGCAGAGGACTGAGGCTGCCACAGACAGGACAGAAGATTAGGCTTAGGACTGTACCTTGGACTTTCATTCAGGCTCTATTCGAGGAAGAAGAGCTGCAGTAGAAAGCCCACTCCCAAAGGGGAAGAAATAAGGTAAAAGGCCTCATGGCGTGGAAATGGGAAAAGCTGAAACAAGAAAGAGAGTGCTCACCTACTCTCAACCTGCACTAACACTACTTGTGGGGCAGGGACTAATGGGGCACCAGACAGGGAACTAGCTCCGTTTCCACTGCTTGCTAAATAAATCCTTAGAGTTCAGTTGCTCATTTAAAAACTTCCTCCTCCCCGCTCCTCTCCCAAGCCAGCCACTTAACATTTCTGCCTCAAAATTACCTCTTGAATCCATTGGGTCGCCTCAAGTTCCCACCACCACAAGAGTCGTGGCAGCTTTTAGGTCCTCATGCCTGAGTTACTGTGATAATCCCCTGCTTCCGTTCTTACCCTGCTCTCTTCACGCACTCCAATATAAAGTCCTTCTCCTATTAAACTATTCAGTGGTCACCCATAGCCTCCAGGCTGAAACTCCAAGACCCTCCAAGATAGCGCAGCCGGCACCGCCCCCCTTGCCCCTATCCTGCAGCTGTTCTAAAGTACTGCCCCGGCAGGTCCCCGACAAGCACTGTGTGCTCCTACCCCTCCGTGCCTGCACATGCTGCTCCCCTTGCTGGAAAATCTGCCAGCCTTTTCCACTGCTTTCTAGGCTCTGCTATCTGGACGCCTCCCCACAGCACTCTACATTGTTATAATTTACTTGTCTCTTTCCCCTCATCAGCCTGTGATCTACCCAAAGGCAGGATCTGAGTGTTGTATCTCCATTTCCCCAGCGGCCAGCATAGTTCGGGTACTTCAAAGCCAGATCGGCCCCTAGGGGCCCTCTCCATGGAGAAACGGTGGGTCTGGCACCTGAGGGTAGGGGTGTGGCCAGAGGCGGGCTCATGGGAGATGGGCGTGGTTTGTGGGCGGGGCTCTGCTCTACGCCGGAACCTGGGTCTCTAGGGCGTCTGCGCAGGAAGGTGCGTTGAGATGGCAGTTGCCGGAGTTGGAGGCCGGGCGGCGACGGTGAGCAAGAGGCTCCCAAAGTGGGTGCCCGAGTAGAAGTTATCGCCTTCTCCCTCCCAATATTCCTTGAAGAGAGACTGTCCCCTCTCAGTATTTCCAGTAGCTGTCTATCCTTATACTTTCTTGAGACAACTCCCCATATTCGAGTATACTGGTTTTCCAGACACTCCCACAGAGGACATATTTGTCGAGATTATCTAAGGAAGGGGAGCTTTATCCCCCATGTAACTCCTAAAGGGCACACATTTTTCCAGTTATTTCATGAAGAGATACCCCCAAAGCTCCAGCAATTGCACATTCTTGTTAACTCAGGGAGTTTTCCACTTTTCCAGCACTGTGCAGATTCTCGAAGAAGTCATAATCCTTGTCCCATACTTGATCTGAAGTGGCACGTTTGCTATCATTCCCTCCCACTCTTTGGCATAGGATACCTACTCTAGAGGGAAGAATCAAACTCTGGCTGGCTACCCATGGCTTCAGCAAGCTTTCAGATTTGAATTAGCCGCTAATTTCTGTAGGCTATATCTAATCAGAATTAGAACAGAAGTACCTTTAACAATGGACTTTTAAGAAAGAAAAATCACATCTTTCAGCGTAAGTTGTCGCTGTCGTATTCATTGTGAATATTCGGACTAACTCCCTGAATGATCCTCCCAAGCCCAGAAGCAGACAGGCAAAGTTGAAGAAGCAACAAATAGTGGAGATGGTATTGAAGTAGGAGTCAGAAGATTGGGCCCAGTTCTGCTACATTCTAGTCAGGAGATGACCTTTAACTTCTCAGAGCCTCAATAACTTGAATCTGTTATCTAGGACTAATAACTCCTGCCATGTCTACCTCAGAGGGATCAAATGGGCTCATATATATGAAAGCACTTTGAAAACTATACATTTTCTCTAAGTGTATAGGGGATTATTATAAATGATCCTCTGAGTTCTAATTAACTTCCAAGGAATTTGTCTTGCTTGGTACTAGGTTCAAATGCAACAGATATTTTTTGAGCGCTTACTATGTGCCAGGTATTCATCTAGACATGAGGCCTAGCATTGAACCAAAAGAGACAAAAACCCCTTATAAATTTAAGAATGAGTCGTCAGCATATTAAGTGCCTACTCATTACCCAGTGCAGCGTCAAAGCATGGTGAAGTAGTAGGAAGAATCTGTATTCTAGATTTAACTCTGCCACTATATAGCTGTGTGAGAAAGATTTTTTCCCTGTGTGAGCCTGAACTTCCTCATCTGTAAAATAAGGAAGTTAAGCAAGGTAACCTCTAGTTTTCTAGTCTTGACTCATCTGTACTTTAGGGGACCTGAAAGAAATTGATTAAAATACATATACTTTATTGGCCTTTTCTGAGTTGGGTTAAGAATGGAGAGAAAAATAGGAAGCAAAGAAGGATATGTCTGTATAGCAAATCGTGGGGTTTGATAAAGTATAATTTTTCCAAGTATTAAAAAATTTGACTTTTATATAAATACGAAATTAATAGGTCTCCAATATTTTATTTATTAATTAATGAGGGAACCAGTAAGATATTAAGATCAGTTCAAATGAAAAATTAAGAGCTAAATATTTATAGGCAATTTAATAAAGGAATGTTAAAATACGATTTCTGAATGATATACAAAACTAATTAAGGTCCTAAAGTGCAATAAGTCATAAATTTTGGAGTCATCTTTTCCACCAGACATAAAACATTTTTATCACTACTAGATGAAAATCTATAAGTTAACCTCTGCCCTAACGAGTTATAAAATAGTCCAGTCAATAGAAAACTAATCAAAGATATAAACACAAAACTGTACTAAAAGATCATCCAATAATTTATTTCACCTGTTTCTAGGTTTCAGATGACTTTTCTGACAATTGTAGTCATCAACTTCAACTTAGTTGTCAGGAAATGAAATCTGTTTCCCAAGCTTTGAAACTATAACTTTATGATGAAGATAAATAAAGTGAATTCCAAACTACCATATGTGTCTTAGAGATAGATCATTTTGGACTTCAGGGATCAAGTTCCAAGTTTCTTAAGAATGTGTTTGAATGACACAGTATCAGCATGAGAAATTCTCATATTCTGAATCTTTATTTCCTTTATAGAAATTCCATGGAATTATAGTTGGTCTACTCTGCAATGTCTCTATTTAAAAGCCCAAGTGAGGACAGACAAGATGAACGTAGGTAAACTCAGGAAAATGTATCTGAGTATGTCATTATTATTACCTCTGAAGTGTGTGTGTGTGTGTGTGTGTGTGTGTGTGTATACATGCACATATGGCAGATCAACCTGGCAATCAGATTGTTAACCTACCAAACAACTGATCAGGAAAGGAAATATATTTTTCAAAAGTAAATACTTTGTACTTAGAAGTACAAGCTCCACTGTTTTATCATCTGAAAATCCTAATTTGAGTACTCTCTTAACTTTTATATTTGGAAATTCACCAGTAAAGCTTGTGTACCTTTCCTTCTCTCCCCATTCTTCATAACTGCCTCCTGCTAAAAAGAGGTGATCAGTGTGAAAAAAGGCTGCTGAGGCAGATAAGGTCCTCCTTTGCAGCCTTTTTGTGGACAGAACAAATGGATCTGTCTCTGTAGTAAGGGAGGATTTCCATACCATTTCTGTGCTTTCCTTTGGTGAATCAAGATTCTAAAGGGAGGCCGGGCGTGGTGGCTCACACCTGTAATCCCAGCACTGTGAGAGTCCAAGGCCGGCAGATCACTTGAGGCCAGGAGTTCAAGACTAGCTTGGCCAACATGGCAAAACCTGTCTCTACTAAAAATAAAATAAATAAATAAATAAATAAATAAATAAATAAATAAATAAATTAGCCAGGCATGGTGACACATGCCTATAGTCCCAGCTACTTGGGAGGTTGAGGGACAAGAATCGCGTGAGCCTGGGAGGTGGTGGTTGCAGTGAGCCAAGATTGTGCTATTGCAGTCCAACCTGGGTGACAGAGGGAAACTCTATCTTAAAAAAAAAAAAAATCCTAAAGGGAGCAGGAATAATCACACTCCAGCCATCTTTCAGAATGGAACTGCCTGTTATGTAAGAACAACAACAACAAATTATTTCTAATGTGAAATTTTGAAAAAGGAAGATTTAGATTTAGGCTTCCTTTTGAGGAATGGAGAAAGTGCAGAATGAAATCAGTTCACTGATTGAAGGTCACAGTGTACTTTCTTTCTTTTTTTTTTTTTTTAGTAACACGGAGTCTCGCTCCGTTGCCCAGGCTGGAGTGCAGTGGCGCGATCTGGGCTCACTGCAAGCTCCGCTTCGCAGGTTCACGCCATTCTCCTGCCTCAGCCTCCCAAGTAGCTGGGACTACAGGTGCCCGCCACCACACCTGGCTAATTTTTTGTATTTTTTTTTAGTAGAGACGGGGTTCCACTGCGTTAGCCAGTATGTTCTCCAGCTGACCTCGTGATCCACCCGCCTTGGCCTCCCAAAGTGCTGGGATTATAGGCGAGTATACTTTCTTTACTTGCTGTCATTGGGCAGTTGTCCGATTTCATCCTGGAGGAAGCCCATGTCAAGGACACTGGCCCTGGTTCCAGAAGTAGAAAGTCAGGAAACTTCCATCCAAAGGAAAACCAGGGAGTCCTCTGCTACCCTCAGGAGAGCTAAAGGGCTAAAGGACCCAGAAGATAATCAACTGCTCTGCATATTCTTATGAACAGAAAATATGGAGAGCCAGAATACTTTAGGGTGTGGTAAGTTCCAGGCAAATGAAAAATGTAATAATCATCAATAAAGACTGATCAATTCATTCGACAAATATTTATTGATTATTAAATAAGTGCGAGCCACTGTGCTAGGTATGGCAATACAATGGCAACAAAACTAGACAGAATTTCTGCTCTTAGCGAGATTATGGTTTAGCGAGGGGAAACATTAATTAACAGCATATTTAATAGCACCAATAAATATAAAATATCTGCCATAAATGCAGTGAAATAAATACCATATGGGAAGTATAGTAGTCAAGAGCATGAATTCTGGAGTCATACCGTCTAGGTTTGAATCCTAGCTCCACCACTTACCACGTTATCTTGGGCAAATCTCTTAATTTCTCTGCTACAGTTCCTCCTCTGTAAAATGGGGATAATAATAAAAGTGCTGCCACATAAGGTTGCTGTAAGGATTAAATTAGGTAATATTTATAAAGCATTTAGGACAGTATCTGCCACATGATAAACACTGGTAAATGTGTAAAAAATAATCAAAATAATCTATAAGAGCTTGACACTTTCAATCAGAAAGATAATTAAGAACTTCATCTATAAATGTGTGTTATTTCAAAAGCCAAACCTTTTACCAAGGAAAAAGAGTTGAAACCAGTTTTCCTGGTAAATCCCTACAGGTAGGCTAGGACTACCTATTGCAGGTAGATTTACTGCTTCTGCTATTTTGAGCAGTAAGCAATTAATACTGGTTTACCCAAGATTTTGGCCTATTCCACTGAATTTACAAAACGACAGTGCTAAACCCAATCATTTGGCAGGTAACACTATTTTGAATATTCAGAATCTTCAGGCCTATTCTGGTTGGAAAATCTACAGTACATAAATACTGGCCAGTTCTAACATCTTGGTTGTCTACCCTCTCCTTTCTATTTTCTTTTCTTTTTCTTTCTTTCTTTTTTTTTTTTTTTTGACAGAGTCTTGCTCTGTTGCCCAGGCTGGAGTGCAGTGGCACGATCTCAGCTCACAGCAACCTCCACCTCCTGGTTCAAGTGATTCTCATGCCTCAGCCTCCCAAGAAGCTGGGATTACAGGCATGCACCACCATGCCCAGCTAATTTTCGTATTTTTAGTAGAGACGGGGTTTCGCCATATTGGCCAGGCCGGTCTTGAACTCCTGACCTCAAATGGTCCACTCGCCTTGGCCTCCCAAAGTTCTGGGATTACAAGCGTGAGCCACCATGCCGGGCCTCTCCTTTCTATTTTCTACCACTTCTTAGTTCAGCCTTTCATCATTTTAAGTGTTGACTATTATAGCCGTCTTTTAAGTGGTCTTTCTGTCTGCACTCCGTTCCCCTGTAAATCTATCATATTAATGTTTCTGAACTTCCAGTTTATCACATTTTCCCCTACTCAAAATCTTTGTAGGATTCTCTGAGATAAAGTTTAATATCATTATCCTAATATTAAAGTC
Organism: Homo sapiens; assembly: GCF_000001405.40. Lineage (NCBI taxonomy): Eukaryota > Metazoa > Chordata > Mammalia > Primates > Hominidae > Homo > Homo sapiens. Next base: position 35,411,988 of record NC_000009.12, read on the forward strand.
CTGACTTGAAGTTCTTGTTTTCTGCCTCCTTCAGATTTTCGTACTTACTGTACTATCATACAACTTGTCTAGTCTCAATGCCAACCCTTTCATTAAGTCCTTTTTCCTGCCTACAGAACTGTCCCCTGCATCTCTACCTAATTAACCTGTGTTCGTCTCTTGAGTTTAGTGCAAGTCCTTCTCCATGAAGCTCTTTCCAACAATTCTGCCCTGCCCCCCTTTATCTCTCCTTCTTGAATTCCTGTAGTGCTTGGGTTCTACAGTGTTTGTTTGTTTGAGACAGAGTTTCACTCTGTTGCCCAGGCTGGAGTGAAGTGGTGTGACCTTGGCTCATTGCAACTTGAGGCTCATTGGTTGAGCCTCCTGGGCTCAAGTGATCCTCCCACCTCAGCCTCCCAACTAGCTGGGGCTAAAGGCACATGCCACCACACCCAGCTAATTTTTGTACTTTTTTATAGAGATGGGATCTCACTATGTTGCCCAGGCTGGTCTCAAACTTCTGGGCTCAAGTGATCCACCCACTTGAGTGGGAGGCCACTCAAGTGGCCTCCCAAAGTGCTGGGATTACAGGTGTGAGCCACCATGCCTGGCCCAGTTTTTTAAAATAATAGCCTTATTGAGATACAATTAACATGTCACAAAATACACCCTTTTAAAGCATGTAATTCAGTGATTTTTAATATATTCAGAGTTTTGAAACCATGACCATAACTTAATTGTAGAACATTGTCATCATCCCAGAAAGAAACCCTATACCCGTTAGCATTCACTCTCAGTTCTTTCCTCTGCTCTCCTATACCCTGGCAACCACTAATGGATTTTTCTGGACTTGACATATAAATAGAATCATATAAAATGTGGCCTTTTGTTACTAGCTTCCTTCACTTATGTTTTCAAGGCCCATCCTTATTGTAGTATGTATCCTTTTTATGGCGGAATACTATTCCAGTGTTTGGATATACCACAATTTGCTTATCTCTTCATCAGGTGATAGACATTTGAATTGTTTCCATTTTTTTGGGTATTATGAGTAATGTTGCGGTAAACATGTGTAAAAGTTTTTGTGTGGACATACAATTTTAATTATCTTGGGTCTCTACAATTCATTTAACATCTTATGTACACCCTGCCTTGACATGCTTTGCTGTTTTACATCTATGTTGTGTGATTCCATTAGATTGTCTGCCTAGCATAGTGCCTTCAGAGTTCTCTCTGTCCTAGAGAGTTTGCAAGACTGTCCCATTATTATATTTCTCCTTTCCCTTTCCTTTACCTTCCACACACTTCTGTAAATACCATCTTCATCACCACCACCACCACCACAAGACAACAATAAAAATTATCAACAGTTATCAAAAGGTAGCTTAATAATACTAGGTAGTAATTCAAAAGGTTGGAGTAAATCTATACATATTGACAAGGGAAGATGACCAATACATAGTGTAAAAAGAAAAAGGTAACTTGCAGAGCAATACATGTAGTAGGATCTCATTAAAAATATATATATAGAGAGATGTGTATATATACATAAATATTTGTGTATAAATTCCTTGAAATGGAAGGGACCTAAAGGATATACACCAATCTATTTATAGTGGTTTCCTTAGGAAAAGAAGGAGTGGAAGGCACAGGAAAGGAAACTTTAAATTTTTTCTGTATATATTTTTGTTTTTGAATCTTTTACAGTGGAAATGTATTTTTATATTACTTTGGGTAATTCTTAAAATTAATAAAAAGAAAAAAGTGTAATCACAAATGGAAAATAACTAAGTTGGAGAAACTAAAAAGAAAGGACAGAAAAGGAAAAAAAGAAAAAGGACTCTAGGAAGGAAGAGGGCATAGATATTGTGGCATGTAGACAGGAAAGTTAATCAGAGTCTTAGTAACAGAATACTCTACAAAAGAGCATTAAATAAACACAAAAGTAGACATTTAGGTTGCACAACTCTGTGAACATACTAAAAACCACTAATTTTTATACTTTCAATAGGTGAATTGTATGGTTTATAAATTTTACCTCATAAAGTTGTTTAGAAAAGACAGATCAAAAGTTCCCAGTGGCCGGGTACGGTGGCTCACACCTGTAATCCCAGCACTTTGGGAAGACAAGGTGGGCAGATCACTTGAGATCAGGAGTTCAAGACCAGCCTGGCCAACATGGTGAAACCCCGTCTCTAGTAAGAATACAAAAATTAGCCAGGCATGGTGGCGCGTGCTTGTAATCTCAGCTTCTCGGGAGGCTGAGGCAGGAGAATCGCTTGAACCCAGGAGGCAGAGGTTGCAGTGAGCCGAGATCATGCCACTGCATAAACAAATAACTTTTTAGTATGTGTGTCCCATCTGATATTTGGGACATACTTATCTTGTATCTGAATGTTTTATTTGCTAAATCTGGCAACCCTAAACAGAAGGGGTTAAGGTTTGAATCCTTTAGATTTAAATTGCTTTTTTAGCATCACCAAGGCATTTTGTTTCTAACTGACGGCTTTTCATATAACTCCCAAACCCTCGTCTGCTATCCCAGGGAAGGTTTTATGATGGAGAAGCACTGAAAGTAATGTCTAGCAGTTCAGTCATACAAGCCTGATTTTACCTTTACTGCATTGATGAGAAATCATTGGTCCCAGATTCCAAATGTGGTCAGAGTACGAAAGCACAACTCCCAATTTCCATCCGCCTGGATGTTCCTGTCAGCTTCTGCCCTACAGAAAGGGAGAAGCCAAAGGTCTGTAAAGGGAGTAGGGAATAGGGCCTTTGGTTTTTGAGCATGTCCTAAATTGTGCCAGCCAAACCAACCTTCTATGGACCCTTGTTAATAAATTGGACAGCTTTTATGATTATTTTGATTTTCTTTAGGCTCCTTTGAACAATTTTAGACTTGTTTTTGCTTAACTCAGACAGAAAAATTAATGAAGCTTTAGGGGATGGTCAGACTTAGAGGTGCAGGAGATCAGTAGTAGCTCAGGAGCTGGACTTTTCATGACATTCCAGACTTTAGTGAGCTTCTTCTCAAAGCTCTTCTTAACACTGCATTCTACACACCCTCTACAGCCATGCTGAATATCCTCTGGTTTGCTGACTTTTGCATAGAAGTGTCAACAAACCATTAGCCTTAGCTGAGGCTCCTCTTTGAGTCCAGCTGTTCTGTGATTATATAGATCTTCCCATAAGGAGGAGGCGATTGTCCTCTACTGGAGGAGTTTGGACAGCAATCTGACCCCAATTGAGCAGAACATGTTTCTAAGCATTTTTCACTTGTGTACTTGTTCATTCAACAAATCTTTATTATATCCAGAGCCTAATGCTGAGCCAAGCGGTAGGCTACAGAGATTTAAAGAAAAGAAAAAACATGGTCTCTACCTTTTTTAAATAAATTGACATGAAATTGTACGTATTTATTGTGTACAATATGATGTTTTGAAATATATACATACCTTCTAGAATGGTTATATCAAGCTAATTAACATATGCAGTACCTCACATAGTATCTCTGCAGGGAAGGCTTATGGCCTGGGCAATTTTTAGTTCTGAGCAAGATGGCCTGGACCTTAGCTTGCTGCTGCTAGTAGATTACTGGGAGTGTCAGATCTGTCTTGTCATGTTAATGAGAGCTGGGTGGGACTTACTGCCACCTGCTACTCTTACTCCTTGTGCGAACTCTTCTGTACAGTAGAAACAGCTATGCTTCTCCTTGGAATAATATCCCAGTGGCCAGAGAACTGTCCCTTGAGCTCCACAGGGGCCGCTGCTTGCCGTGCATGTGGAGAGCCAGAGCACAGACCTGGCTTATCCAGCCTCCACCTGGCTTTGCCCCTCCACCCGCCCTGGTAGCTTAACACAAAGGACAGAAACTTTGGGGAGCTTTATGACCCTATCCATTGCCTGAGAAACCAGAATACCTTCCCTGGAGATATAAGGCAAGCACAAATCCCACCACTACTACCACAGCTGGTGTTCTTTTCCAAGTGCCACCTTGTGGCTAGAGGCCAACACAGTCCATTACAGCACCTCCAGGTAGAATAACACTGCACCCGGGAAGGAAGAAACTTGTGCCTGACCTCAGCTATCACCATTGTCTGCACCACACTAGCCGACCAGGAGGTCCTGAGTCTGTTCGTGTGACCAGGTCATTACTTACTACCACTGGCATTTGAGAAAGCCAACACACTAAGGCTAGCTATAACCAAGGAATCTCACAGAGTCTATGTCACTCCCCTGCAAACCCCATCAGAGCCAGTGCTAGTACCTGCTTCTGGGAAACTTGAGAACACATCATATCACTGGATCCCTTGCAGACATTCCCTAGTACCAGCCTGGAGTGTGGCAGCCCCTCTAGGTGGCTAGATCCAGAAGAGCAACAGAATTCACAGTAGTCTGGCTCTCAGGGACTCCTACTTCTAGGGGAAAGGGGAGTATACTACGTCAAGGGAATACCCCATGGGACAAAGGACTCTAGATGGCAGGCCCTGAGTCCCAGATCTTTCTGCTGGTGGAAGTTTCTTTCAGCAGGGGCACAGTTGCAGTGCTGGACTTAGCAGGGAAAGTCTGCAGCTCTACTCCAACAGCCGGGCACCAAGCCTGCGGCTTGTGAAGAATCTCAGAGAGGGGGACTTCTTTTCCCCCTCATCCACCATTGCAGACACAGCTGGGGCTTCTCCCATGGGAGCTTGGTGTGAGTGCATCTATGCATAGCATTTCTGGAACACTTCAAGGTGACTGTATCCCCATAGGAGGAGCACTCTCCAGGTTCAGGCTTGCACAAGAGGTAGAGTCACAATTCTTCCTTACTTGGAACATCAACATTCCTGCAGATGAAAAGAGGTACCTGTCTGATCTGAATAGCTAGAACACAGTCAGGAGTGTGTCCTGCTGGCCTGGCAGGGGAGCTGAGGTGGCTCCCACCCTTCTGCCTGATAAAACCTCAGTGTTTCTCACTGAGAGCTCCCCCAGCCACCTCTGACAAACTTGGGACCTCTGCCCACCATTGGGTACTGCATTTACCCACCTGCTTCAGCCACAACTGGTTTCTACACAGGGATACCTCCTCTGCTGGCCTGAAGCCCAGACTGTTCAACCAGTAAATAAAATACTAGGGAAAAATAAGTAAACAAAAAGGTGTATACCACAGGGGAATGAAATAAGTAAGCTTCAAGAGAACTCTGCTGTTCCAACCCCCTGTGAGACAGTAAACTTGCGCACATACTGTGCACATTGTTACTACAAACTAGCATCTGAGAAGGCCATCATACAAAGACTGCCAGTAACCAAGGAACTTACGTAGAATCTTCACCCCTGAAAGCACCAAGAGCCGAATTAGGCTACAGTAAACATTAAAGTCAGATCCTTAAGAGGGTAAAAAGAAATTTTTAAAAAACACAATCAAAATAATTCTATAATAACTAGAAGAAATGGTCTACCCAAAAGAGAAGGAACCAGAAAAATAATTCTGGTAACATGGCAAAACAGGGTTCTGTAGCACCCCCAAAAGATCACATTAGCTCTCCAGTGATGGATCCAAACAAAGATGAATTTTTTTTTTTCTTTTGTGATGGGGTCTCCCTCTGTCACCCAAGCTAGAGTGCAGTGGTGTGATCTTGGCTCACTGCAACCTCCGCCTCCTGGGTTCAAGCGATTCTCCTGCCTCAGCCTCCCCAAGTAGCTGGGACTACAGGTGTGTGCCACCACTCCCAGCTATTTTTGTGTGTGTATTTTTAGTAGAGACAAGGTTTCACCATGTTGGCCAGGCTGGTCTCGAACTCTTGACCTCAGGTGATCCACCCGCCTTGGCCTCCCAAAGTGCTGGGATTACAGGTGTGAGCCACCACACCCAGCCAAGATGAAATATTTGAAATACCAGATAAAGAATTCGAATGGTTGATTATTAAGCTTTGATTATTTCCTTGAGTACAAGGAGATACCAGAGAAAGGTGAAAGCCAACACAAAGAAATTAAAAAAAAAAAATTCAGGATATGAATGAAAAATTTTCTAAAGAGATAGAGATCTTGAAGAATAGCTAATCAGAACTTCCATAAATGAAAGACACATTTAGGGAATTACAAAATGCAATGGAAAGATTTAAAAATAGACTAGAACAACCAGAAGAAAGAATTTCAGAGCTTGAAGACAAGGCTTTCAAATTAACCCAATCAGAAAAAATAAAAAAGAATAAAAATAAATGAACAAAGTCTCCAAAAATATGGAATTAAGTAAAATGGCCAAACCTAATAATAATTGATGTTCCTGAAGGAGAAGAAAAAGCAAAAAGTTTGGAAAACTTATTTGAAGGAATAAATGAGGAAAACTTCTCTGACCTTGCTAGAGATTTAGATATCCAAATACAAGAAGCGTAAAGAAATCCTGGGAGATTCCTTGCAAAAAGGACATTACCAAGCATATAGTCATCAGGCTATCTAAAGTCGATGTGAAGGAAAGAATTCTAAGAGCAGTGAGACAAAACCATCAGTTAACCTGTAAAGGAAAACCCATCAGACTAACAGAAGACTTCTCAGCAGAAACCTTACAAGCCAGAAGGGATTGGGGTCCTATCTTTAGCCTCCTTAAACAGAGTAACTGTCAGCCAAGAATTTTGTATCTAGCAAAATTAAGTTTCATAAATGAAGGAGAAATAAAGTCATTTTCAGACAAATGATGAGGGAATTTGTCACTACCATACCAGCCCTACAAGAAATTCTAAAAAGAGTTCTAAATCTTGAAACAAAAGCTTGATAGGCAGCAAAATAGGACCTCTGGAAAGCATAAAACTAACAAAACCTATGAAACAATAACACAATGAAAAATACAAAGTATCTAGATAACAACATGATGAATGGAACAGTACCTCACCTCTCAATATTAATGTCACATATAAATTGCTTAAATGCTCCACTTAAATGATACAGATTGGCAGAATGGATTAAAAAAATCACAAACCAAATATCTGCTGTCTGCAAGAGATTCACCTAACATGTAAGGATTTATATAAACTCAAGGTAAAGGGGTAGAAAAAGATACTCCATGTAAATGGAAACCAAAAGCAAGCAGGAGTGGCTATTCTTATCTAAAATAAAATAGACCTTAAAGCAACAACAGTGAAAAAAAGACAAGGTAATTATACAATGATATAAGGCTCAATCCAACGAGAAGGTATTACAATCCTAAATTTATATGCACCTAACGCTGGAGCTCCCAGGTTCGTAAAACAGTTACCGCTAGACCTACTAAATGAGATGGATAGCAACATAATAATAGTGGGGAACTTCAGTATTCCACTGACAGTGCTAGAGAGATCATCAAGACAAAGTCAACAACAACAAAAAAAATTGACTTTAAATGACACTCTCAAACAAATGGACCTAACAGATATTTACAGAACGTTCTATCCAAGATATGCACAATATACATTCTTCTCATCAATACATTTAACATTCTCCAAGATAGACCATATGATAGGCCACAAAACAAGTCTTAATAAATTTATAAACATCAAAATTATATCAAGTATTTTCTCAGACCACAGTGGAATAAAAGTAGAAATTAACTGCAAAAGAAACCCTCAAAACTATACAAATACATGGAAATTAAACAATCTGCTCCTGAATTATTTTTGAGTTAACAATGAAATCAAGATGGAAATTTAAAAATTCTTTTAAATGAATGACAGTAGTGACACAGATTATTAAAACCTCTTGAGATACAGCAAAAAAAAAAGTGCTAATGGGAACGTTTATAGTGCTAAATGCCTGCATCAAAAAGTCGGAAAGATCACAAGTTGACAATCTAATATCACACCTCAAGGAACTAGAGAAACAAGAACAAACTAAACCCAAAGCTAGCATAAGAAAAGAAATAATAAAAATCAGAGCAGAACTAAATGAAATTGAAACAAAAAAATGCAAGAGATAAATGAAAAAAAGCTGGTTCTCTGAAAAGATAAAATTGATAGACTATTAGCTAGATTAACCAAGAAAAAAGAAAATTCAAATAAATTCAATTAGAAATAAAACTGGAGATATTACAGTTGACACCACAGAAACATAAAAGATCATTCGAGACTACTAACAACACCTCTATGCACACAAACTAGAAAATCTAGAGGAAATGGATAAATTCCTGGAAACATACAACTCTCCTAGATTAAGTTGGGAAGAAATAGGTCCCCTGAACAGACTAATAACAAGCAGTGAGATTGAATGAGTAATTTTTAAAAATTGCTAGCAATAAAAAAGCCCAGGGCCAGATGGATTCTAATGTGAATTCTACCAGGCATTAAGAGAAGAATTGGTACCATTTCTACTGAAATATTTCAAAAGATTGAGAAAGAAGTAATCCTCCCTAAAACATTCTATGAAGCCAGTATCACCCTGATACCAAAACCAGGAAAGAACATTAAAAAAAAAGAAAACTACAGACCAATATCCCTGATAAACATAGATGCAAAAATCATCAACAAAATACTAGCTAACCAAATCGAACAGCACATCAGAAAGATCAAGTGGGTTGATCAAACCTACTATAATCAAGTGGGTTTCATCCCAGGGATGCAGGGATGGTCTAACATCTATGGAAGTCAATAATCATGACACATCACATAAACAGAATTAAAAACATATGATTGGCTGGGCATGGTGGCTCACGCCTGTAATATAACACTTTGGGAGGCCAAGGTGGGTGGATCATGAGGTCAGGAGTTCAAGGCCAGCCTGGCCAACATAGTGAAATCCCATCTCTACTAAAAATACAAAAATTAGCCGGGCATGGTGGCATGCACCTGTAGTCCCAGCTACTCAGGAGGCTGAGGCAGGAGAATCGCTTGAACCCGGGAGGCGGAGGTTGTGGTGAGCCACGATTGTGCCACTGCACTCCAGACTGGCAACAGAGCAAGACTCCGTCTCAAAAAAAAAAAAAAAAAGTATGATCATCTCAATAGATGCAGAAAAAGCATTTGATAAAATCCAGCATCTCTTTGTGATAAAGACTCTCAATAAACTAGGTACAGAAGGGGACATGCCTCAAAATAATAAAAGCCACATATAACAAACCCATAGTCAACATCATACTGAAAGGGAAAAGTTGAAAGTATTCCCCCTGAGAACTGGAACAAGACAAGGATGCCCACTTTCACCATTTCTATTCAACATAGTCCATTAGGAAGTCCTAGCCAGAGCAATCAGGCAAGAGAAAGAAATAACAGGCATCTCAGTTGGAAAGAGGACATCAAACTATCTCCATTCACTGGTGATGTGGTCATATACCTAGAAGACCCTGAAGACTCCTCCAGAAGACTCCTAGATTTAATAAACGAATTTTGAAAAGTCTCAAGTTACAAAATCGGTGTACACAAATCAGTAGCACTACTATACACCAACAACCACCAAGCTAAGAATCGCATCAAGAACACTCAATCCCTTTTAAAACAGCTGCAAAAAATATAAAATACCTAGGAATATATTTAACTAAGGAGGTGAAAGATCTCTACAAGGAGAACTATAAAACAATGCTGAAAGAAATCATAGATGATACAAACAAATGGAAACATATCCCATGCTCATGGATTAAGAAGAATCAATACTGTGAAAATGACCACAGTGCCCAAAGCAATCTACAGATTCAATGCAAGTCCTATCAAAATGCCAGCATAATTTTTCACAAAATTAGGAAAAACAATTCTATAATTTATATGGAACCAAAAAAGACCCTGAATAGCCAAAGCAATCATAAGTAAAAAGAACAAACCTGGAAGCATCACATTACCAGACTTCAAATTATACTACAAGGCTATAGTTACGAAAACAGCATAGTACTAGTATAAAAGTAGGAACGTAGACCAATGGAATGGAATAGAGAACAGAGAAATAAAGCCAAATACTTACAACCAACGGATCTTTGACAAAGCATACAAAAACATGAACTGTGGAAATGACACCCTATTTAATAAATGGTGCTGGGAAAACTGGTTAGCCACATGTAGAAGAATGAAACTAGATCCCAATCTCTCACTGTATACAAAAGTCAACTCAAGATGGATCAAGACTTAAATCCAGCACCTAAAACCATAAAAATTCTAGAAGATAACCTTGGAAAAACTCTCTTGAACATAGGCCTTGGCAAAGAATTCATGACTAAAACCCCAGAAGTAAATGCAACAAAACAAATAAATGGGACCTAATTAAACTAAAAAGCTTCTGCACAGCAAAAGAAATAATCATCAGAGTAAACAGATAACCTACAGAATGGGGGGAAATATTTGTAAACCCTGCATCCATCAAAGGACTAATATCCAGAATCTAAAAGAAACTCAAACAAATCAGCAAGAAAAAAACTAATAATCCCATCAAAAAGTGAGCAAATGACATGAATAGACATTTCTCAAAAGAAGATATACAAATGTCCAACAAACATGAAAAAAATGCTCAGCATTACTAATCATCAGGGAAATGCAAATTAAAACTGCAATGATATACCACCCTGCTCCTACAAGAATAGCCAAAAAAGATATTGGTATGGATATGGTGAAAAGAGAAGGATGTGGTTGTAAGTATTTGGCTTATACACTGCTGGTGGGAATGTAAATTAGTACAATCTCTATGGAAAACAGTATGGAGATTCCTTAAAGAACTAAAAATAGATCTTCCATTTGATTCAGCAGTCCTACTGCTGGGTATCTACTCAAAAGAAAAGAAGTAATTATGTGAAAAAGACACATGCACACATTTATTGAAGCACAGTTCACAGTCGCAAAGACACAGAACCAACCTAAATGCGCATCAACCAATGGGTGGATAAAGAAAATTTCATATATATATACACCATGGAATACTACTCAGCCATAAGAAGGAATGAAATAATGTCTTTTGCAGCAACGTGGGTGGAGCTGGAGGACATTATTCTAAGTGAAGTAACTCAGGAATGGAAGACTAGCTACTGTTATGTTCTCACTTATAAGTGAGAGCTAAGCTATGAGTACACAAAGGCATACAAAGTGGTAAAATGGACTTTGGAGACTCAGAAGGGGGAGGGTGCAAATGGAGTGAGGAATAAAAAACTACATATTGGGTACGGTGTACATTGCTTGGGTGATGGGTGCACCAAAATCTCAGAATTCACAACTATATAATGCATCCATGTAACCAAAATCACTTGTACCTCAAAAGCTACTGAAATATTTTAATGGTTTTTTTAATTAACATGAAGTTATATATATTTATTGCATACAACATGTTTTGAAATGCACACACACACACAAAACCCCTTCCAGAATGGTTAAATTAAGCTAATTAACATATACATTACCTCACATAGTTGTCATTTTTATGGTGAGAGCACTTAAAATCTACTCTTTGAATTTTTCAAGAATACAATGTATTGTTATTTATTATAGTCACCATGTTGTACAATAGATCCCTGGAACTTATTCTTCCTATCTAACTGAAATTTGTAACCTTTGATCAACATTTCCCCAACTCCTCCCTCATCAGCCTCCCAGCCCCTGGTAACCACCATACTATCCAGCCATGAAAAAAGAGGTAAATCCGTCATTTTGTAACAACATGGATGAATCTGGAGAACATTATGTTAAGTGAATAAATCAGACACAGAAAGACAAATACTGCATGATCTGACTCATATGTGGCATCTAAAAAAGCTGATCTCATGGTCTCTACCTATAAGGAGCTCTTTGTTTAGTGGGAGAATGCTGGTATTGTAAGTAAGCATGATAAGTAAGTTAAATATAAACCATGGGATGTAGCTGTGGGTAGACTGAACCAGAAACACATGATGAAATGGTGGCGAGAAAGCAAATTAGTTACTGCCCTTTCTGCAGGGCCATGGATACTGGCCTTTTCTGTGATGACTCTCTGCTACATCATTTAGCTGTTCTTCTTAGCATACATTTTTTTTTAAGAGATGGTGTCTTGCTTGTTGCCCAGGCTGGTGTTGAACTCCTGGGCTCAAGCAATCCTCCCCCTTAAGCCTCCCAAAATGCTGGGATTACAGGTGTAAGCCACCATGCCTAGTCATTTTACCATTCCTTACATGGAAATATCTAGTGGTTATGCTCCAGATATCTCAGAAATGAAGTCTGGAGAGATGAAAAATAAATTTTCTTGTGTATTCAAGACTTTAAGCCATATGGTTAGCTAAAATCTACTGATAGCTGTAATGTTTTAGATTGTTATTTGACTACCATAGGATAAATTGTGATCATTTGGAATCTGTGTGAGAAATTCCAGTATTCTTAATGCGAACTGACTCTGTATTAGTTCGTTCTCATGCTGCTATAAGGAAATACCCAAGACTGGGTAATTTGTAAAGAAAAGAGGTTTAATTGACACACAGTTTCCACATGACTGGGGAGGCCTCAGGAAACTTACAATCATGGCAGAAGTCACCTCTTGGCAGGGCAGCAGGAGAGAGAATGAGTGCAAACAGGGGAAATGCCAGAGACTTATAAAATCAGATCTCATGAGACTCATTCACTATCATGAGAACAGCATGGGGGAAACCACCCCTGTGATCCAATTACCTCCACGTGGTCCCACCCTTGACACGTGAGGATTATGGGATTACAATTTAAGATGAGATTTTGGGTGGGGTCACAGCCAAACCATAACTGTCTCCAACTAATCTGACTTGAAATTAGCCCTTTATCCTTCCCCTTGCAGCTGTCTTCACTTATTTTTAGAGACAGGAAAAGGAGATTTCTATGACAGCCATTAAATGACTTGGCTGAAATCACCTAGGCCTGCTAATCTGGAACTACAGCAAGGGGTCATTGCTAAATTTGCCCTGCCAGCACCTGGGCTTAATGGAACTGTGAGTATAGTAGTATATGGAGAGTAAGCCTTGACTAATCTAGTAGTTAAGAGACTTGCACTCCGGAAGATCATCTCATTGTTCTTGCATTAGCTGGAAAATCCCATTTGTGATCAATTCACCATTGTGAGCAAGGAAATATTTGTTCAGAATCTCCTAAGCCTGATTGCCACCTGACTAACTGGCCTTCATTCCTTTTCTGCCCTCCTCCTTCTTTTCCTGGTTACTTAAATTTCAGCGTGCTACTTTCTTTTGTTTCATCTTACAGAGCTCATTTTCCATTTTAGTTTCTGCCATTTCCTTGCTAGGATAATCGCCAATCTTCTGTAGCTTTAACCCCTAAAACCCGAGGTGGTATTACATATGTTGCGTAAGAGCTAAGTCTTTCACCCTGGCATTTGAGTCAAAACTCTAAGCATTATATCCTTAAACAGAGGCTTCTTCTATTTTGAGACTTCTACTACCTTTTTACCAGGTAGACAGAATTCTCCTCACTAGACTATGGCTTTTGTACCCTTCCTTTTCCACTACCTGGATTAGCCTAGTGCATCCACAGAAGGTAGCTGAAAGTTCAAAATCTATTTTGGGCACAGACAACTATATCAATGATGCATATGGAATCTCCTTGACATATTATAAGATAAATAACAGAATATAACATTTAATGTGTACTCTTTTTTTGGTTGTTGTTAGAGGCAGGGTCTCCCTCTGTCACTCAGGCTGAAGTGCAGTGGCATGATCAAGCTCACTGCAGCCTCCAACTACTGGGCTCAAGCAATTCTTCCACCTTAGCCTCCCATGTAGCTAGGACTACAGGTGTGTGGCACCATGCCAGCTACATTAAAAAAATTTTTTTTGTAGAGACAGGGTCTCACTACCTTGACCAGGCTGGTCTTGAACTCCTGGCCTCAAGTGAGCCTCCCACCTTGGCCTCTCAATGTGTTGGGATTACAGGCATGAGCTATTGCACCCAGCCTAATGTGTACTTTTGTGTGGTTCTCATTTTTTATTTGTTTTTCATTCACCTTTTCTCAGGTTGAAAATGTGTACTTTTGATTTGTCAGGAATCAGATAGGCACTTTACATTTATCATCTCATTTAGCCCTATTAGTATATACAGTAGGTTTTACTACCCCATTTTACACATGAAGAAACTAAAGCCAAGAAATGAAAAGTGACTTGCCCTAGGTCACTTAACAATTTAGTTGCAGAGTCCAGTCTAGAATAGCTAAAATGTCCTGAGCATTTTTAATTATTAGGAATTGTTTTCAAATATTTTGTGTGCCTTAACTCATTAATCCTCCCAATAACCTTATGAGTAGATATTATTATCATTTCCATCTTACAGAAAAATAAAATGAATCTCAGGTTAAGTTACTTTCCCAAGGCTAAGAAATCTGGCTTTCTAGCCCCCAATTCCTCTTCTCCTCCTGGTGAAAATCCTATTTTCCTTTTTCCTTCTTTCTTTGTGGCAGGTCTGTCATCAAAGAACCAAAACAAGGTGAAGGTTAATCCTGCCCTGACTTTGGAGTCTCAATCTGTCTTTGCCAACTCAGGCTCTGAAGTGGAAGACTAAGATTTGAACCCTGACAGCCTGACTCAATTGTCTGTGTTCTTAACCACTATGGGAGCTTTCTATATTTTTTAACTTTAAGTCTACTGCACATTTTATAACACCAGCTTGCCTCACTTCACCAAGATGTCTGGCCCTTTTAGTTCAGTTATTTCACCATGCGCAGGCCAGCTTTTAGGACAGGTCCTTTGAAACCAGTCTTTGAATAGGCTGTAGATTCAACCCTCAGTTCCTAATGGAGAATGAATTTTCCACAGTCACCAGTGGCTAGAAGTAGGTGTTTGTCCCCTTGAGTTCCATAGCTAGGACTTCTTCAACTAGACTATTTCCTAGACTCTCCTTGTCTCAACTAATTTCCAACCTTCTGTCATTCTAACCTCTCACCCATAATTCACATTTTGTCATTCTCGTTTCAGCCAAACAGGAATAACCTTTGAATTAACAAGTAATGGGGAAAACACTTAGTCACCCAGTCTTCTCTTACAGTATTTACATGCCCCAGGGAATCTTGAATTAATCTTTATTATCCAGTCTGAAAACTTTCTTCCTGCCTTTATGATCTCAAACAAGACTGGTTACTTTCTTTCCTTACAGCCTGCCTTTTTTCTCTCTCAAACATTTAGTTTATTCTCTTAGATGGTTGTGCAAAGTGATGTTTTAACCACTTTTCTCATCATTCCTTCTTTTCCTTCATCGTAGACCTCTTAGGAAATCTGGCTTTCTAGCCCCCAATTCCTCTTCTCCTGGTGAAAATCCTACTTTCCTTTCTCCTTCTTCTTTCTTCATGGCAGGTCTGTCATTAAAGAGCCAGAACAAGGTGAAGGTTAATCCTGCCCCTACTTCGGAGTCTCAATCTGTCTTTAGCAACTCAGGCTCTGAACCTTGAGATCTACTGCTTTACTTTACTCTTCAACTCAAAGAGGGAGATATGTGTTCAGTATTCAGTTGTTGCATAGAGGCTGAACCCCAGGTATCCCTCAGAACTAGTGAGAGAATGGCCTGTTTCACCCAGATAAGTTGCTGGCAGAGGCTGTTAGACCCTTGTTAGGTTAAAAAATAATCAGGGATATTTAGGATTAAATTTAATAAGAAATGTGAAATCCAGTAAGAAAATATTATAACTTTATCAAAAGTTATAAAATAATATTTTTAAACAAATAGAAACGTTTTACTGGTCTGAAGGGATAAATGGCATGGGAGAAACTGATTTTATTCAGTAATCCATTAATATATTGAGTATGAACATAGCCTGTCCAAGGACTGGAGAATCTCAACACTAGTAGAAACACCAGTACTTCTCTGGTACCCTGCCTTAATCAGGTAGCTATCTGTGCCCCTTGAGAAAGTCCCTGCACAAAGGGCCTATGCCATACACCAGCTCTAAATCCTAGATGTGACTAAATTATCTGAGCTATGCATATTCCACTGCTTCAGAGAAGCTAAGCTTCAATGATTAGCAGAAGCCCTTGTATCACACAGTTGTAAATAAGCCACTAACCAGTCAAAATAAAGCTCCACAAAATATATCAATCCCATCTCACATAAGTATAAAACTTCTCCCATGTTTATTCAACTAGTAATCATCCAGTAACCATTCATCCTAATAATCACAAGAATAAAATATAAGAAGGAAGAAATGTACTAGTACAGTAGAACAAACTACAAGCTGCATAGCTGGGTTGTAAGCATAGTCCAGAGAAGACTCATAGCCATTTGCTTATGTATTGCTGGTAAGCTGACTATATAGACATGATCATCATGCACAAAGGAGTGGCGTCCCAGGAGGACACCAACAGCTATCTCTCTGTCTCTCTCACAGGAATATAGCATGTTACCAGATAGGGGGCTAATATTGCAAAAATGTCAACTCTATCCAAATTAGTGTACATAATCTAAATCTGTTTACTCTCAAATCCTTGGGTAAACCTAGCTGAACATCCCAGTTTCATCTTGGTCACAATTTGTACAAATGGTAACCACAAAGAAAAAGCCTCTAGTAGATACAGAAAAGAGAAAGATAGGAATCAAAGCACACCACTACAAAAGTCATCAGATCACAAAGGAAGACAGCAAGAGAGGAACAAAGGAACTACAAAACACTCAGAAAACAACAAAATGGCAATAGTAAATACCTATCTTAAATTACTTTAAATGTAAATAGATTGAATTCTCCCATCAAAAGACTGACTAGAATGGTTGAATGAAAAAACAAAACAAAACAAAAAAATAAGATCTAACAATATGCTACCCACAAGAGAGTCACTTTAACTTTAAGGACATACATAGGCTGAAAGTGAAGGGATGTAAAAAGATACTCCATGCAAATGGTAACCAAAAGAGGGCAAGGGTGGCTATGCTTATGTCAGAAAAATCTGTCATAAAAGACAGAAAGGTCATTATTTAATGATAAAGGGGCCAATTCATAAATAGGATATAACACTAGTGAATATAAATGCATCCAACAACAGAGCACTTAAATGTATAAGGCCAAAGGAAGACAGCAAGAGAGGATCAAACGAACTACAAAACACTCAGAAAACAATTAACAAAATGGCAATGCTAAATACTTACCTATCTATAATTACTTTAAGTGTATAAGGCAAAGATAAACAGAACTGAAGGGAGAAATAGACAGCAGTACAGTAAAGTAGAGAACCTCAATAATCCACTTTCAACAGTAGAATCATTCAGAAAGAGAATCAAGGAAACAGTGGACTTGAATAACACTATGAACAAATGGACCTAACAGATATATACAGAACATTCCATTCCCAAACAGCAGAATATATTGTTCTTTTCAAGTGCACATGGATCTGTTCTCCAGTATAAATCATATTTTGGGCCACAAAACACGTCTTAACAAATGTAAAAAGATTGAAAGTATATTAAGTATCTTTCCTAACTACATGGTATGAAACTAGAATAACAACCAATGGATGAAAAAAAAATCCAAAAGGTGAAATAAAAATACCTTTATACAAGTGGAAACATAACAAAACTTATGGGATGCAGCAAAAGTTGTTCTAAGAGAAAAGTTTATTGCAATAAATGCCTACATTAAGGAAAAAAAAAGAAAGATCTCAATTAAACAACCTACTTTTATACCTTAAGGAACTAGGAAAAGAACAAAT
This sequence comes from Homo sapiens, assembly GCF_000001405.40. Lineage (NCBI taxonomy): Eukaryota > Metazoa > Chordata > Mammalia > Primates > Hominidae > Homo > Homo sapiens. The sequence continues at coordinate 35,429,506 of NC_000009.12, forward strand.
TAAGCCCAAAGTTAGCAGAAGGAAGGAGTTAGAGTAAAAATAAATAAAATGGAGAATAGAAAAACAAGAAAAAATAATGAAACTAAGAATTGGTTTATTGAAAAGATAAACACAATTGACAAACCCTTAGGTAAACTTTTATTTTTAAAAGACTCTAAAATCCAAAATGAAAGAGAAAATGTACAACTGATGCCACAAAAATAAAAGGGATCACAAGAGACTATTATAAAGTTATATGCCAACAAATTGAATAACCTAGAAGAAATGGATAAATTCCTGGAGACATGCAACCTACCAAGCCTGATTAACAAAGAAAAAATCTGAACAGACTAATAAGTAAGGAGATCGAATTAGTAATCAAAAACCTCCCAGCAGGCCGGGTGCGGTGGCCCATGCCTGTAATCCCAGCACTTTGGGAGGTCGAGGCAGGCAGATCACTTGAGGTCAGCAATTTGAGACCAGCCTGGCCAACATGGCAAAACCCCATCTCTACTAAAATACAAAAATTAGCCGGGCGTGGTAACAGGCGCCTGTAATCCCAGCTTCTTGGGAGGCTGAGGCAGGAGAATTTATTGAACCAGGGAGCTTGCAGTGAGCTGAGATCATGCCACTGCACTGCAGCCTGGGTGACAGAGTGAGACTCTGTCTCAAAACAAAAACTAAAACAAAACCAACCAACAAAGAAAAGCCCAGGACCAGATGGCTTCACAGGTTAATTCTATCAAACATTTAAAAAATAATTAACACTAGTCCTTCTTAAACTCTTCCTAAAATTGAAAAAGAGAGAACACTTTCAACTCATTTTATCATGCCAGCATTACTCTGATACCAAAGCCAGACAAAGACACTACAAGAAAAGAAAATTATTGGCCAATACTTCTGATAGATGCAAAAATCCTCAACAAAATCCTAGCAAATAAATTCAGTATCACAGTAAAAGAATCATATGTCATGACCAAGTAGGTCTTATCTCTAGGATGCAGAGATCACTTAACATATGCAAATTAATCAATGTGATATACCACATTAACAGAGTGAAGGGTAAAAACTGCATTAACTCAGTAGATACAGAAAATGCATATGGTCAGTTGATTTTTAACAAGGACGTTAAAACTATTCATTGGGAAACGAATAGTCTTCAATAAATGGTGCTGGTAGAACTGGATATACACAATACAAAAATATAAAAATAAAAACGGACCCCTATTTCACCATATGCAAGAATTAATGCAAAATAGATCAAAGACTTAAATGTAAGAGCTAAAACTATAAAACTCTTTTTAATTTTATTTATTTATTTATTTTTGGAGACAGAGTCTTGCTCTGCTGCCCCGACTGGAGTGTGGTGGTGCAATCATGGCTCATTGGCCAGCCTCAATCCTGGCCTCAAATGATCATCCCACCTCAGCCTCCTGAATAGCTAGGATCACAGGCTGCACCATCATGCCTAATTTTAGTTTTTATAGAGATGGGGTCTCACTATGTTGCCCAGATTGGTCTTGAACTCCTGGGCTCAAGCAATCCTCCTGCCTCAACCTCCCAAAGTGCTGGGATTACAGGTGTGAGCCACTGCGTCTGGGCTATAAAAGTCTTAGAAAAAGAAATAGGAGTAAATTCTAATGACCTTGGATTAGCAATGGTTTCTAAACCATGACACGAAAAACACAAGTGACCAAAGAAAATGCATATAGGACTTCATCAAAATAAAAAACTTTGTTGCTTCAAAGCCAACCATCAAGAAAATGAAAAGACAACTCAGAATGGTACAAAATATTTGCAAGTCATATATTTGATAAGGGCCTTCTATCCAGAATATATAAAGAACTCTTACAGTTCAGTGATAAAGAGACAACGCAATTTAAAAATGGTCAAAGACATTAACAGGGGAACAGTAGACACTGTGGACTACTAGAGGGGGAGGGGTTGTGGGTGCAATATACCTATGCCACAAAACTGCACATGCACCCCTGTCTGTAAAACAGAAGTTGAAATTTTTTTAAAATGGTCAAATAATCTGAGTAGACATTTCTTCAAAAAAAAAATGCAAATAACTAGTAAGCACATGAAAAGATACTCAACATCATCATTAGTCATTAGGGAAATGCTAATCGAAACCACAGTGAGATACTATTTCACAGCCTTTAAAATTGCTAAAGTAAAAAGCATGAGCAATAACAAGTGCTGGAGACAATGTGGAGAAATTGGGACACTCATACATTGTGAGGAGGGAATGTAGAATAGTACAGATACTGTGGAAAACTGTTTAGCAGTTGCTCAAAAAATTAAACATAAAGTTACCATTTGACCTATTGATTCTACTCCTAGGTGTATACTCAAGAGGAATGAAAACATGTTTACACAAAAACTTGTACAGGGATGTTCATAGCCATATTCTTCACAGTAGCCAAAAGGTGGAAACAAACCAAATGCCCAATCATGGATGAATAGATAAGTAAAATGTGGTACATCCAAACATTGACATATTGTTCAGATGTAAAAAGGAATGAAATACTGATACGTACTACAACGTGAATGAACCTTGGAAACATTATTCTAAGTGAAAGAAACCAGTTTTAAAAGACCACATATTTTATGCTTCTGTTTATGTAAAATGTCCAGAATAGACAAATCCACAGAGAATAGATTAGTGTCCACCAGGGACTGAGAGGAGAGGTCAGAATTGAGAGTACAGGTATGAGGTGTCTTTGGGGGGTGATGAATATGTTCTGGAATTAATGACGATGGTTGCATAACCATGAATATACTAAAAGCCATTCAATTGTACACTTCCAGGGGGTGAATTTTATATTATATGAATCATAGCTCAAAAAAAAAAAAAAAACTTGAACAATTGCAGAGTTGGGTTTCTAGGACCTGGAGCCAGAGACTCCTCTTGGAGGAGTGAATCAAGTAGTTCAAGATCAGAGTAGGAGTCGGTAGCCTAGGATAGAATTTTTGAGGGCCAAGGAAAGAAGTTTCTTTTTAATCTTGGGAGCCATGGGCCAAGGAGGACCTTAGAGGGCCAGAAGAGCTTTAAAGTAGATATTCAATACAACTCAGAGGCAGAGGGGTTGCTACGACCCACTCTCTGAGGGGGCAAATTCTATGGAGACATTACCTAAGAATTACTAGAAGCATTAAGGGCAGAAAGCTTAGGAGCACTGTCAGCCTTCAGGCTAAATTCTATATTGCTTGGTATAATACACAGGCTTAAGAGAACTGGGAAGCACTTAATCCATATCATCCAAATAACTAAGGCATCTCCTCCAGGAATACATCTATGTCCTACTTTCCTTGACTTCCATCCCCTCTTCTGTGCACCTCCAACCTGTAGCTCTGCCCTTACATTAGATTGAAATTTTATTTTATATTTGTCTGTCCTACTAGGAATAGTACCAAGATGGTCAGGATGATGTTTTCCTCATCTCGTAACCCTAGGACCTAGCACAGGGCCTGAACCTGCCAAGAACCCAGCAAATGCTTGCTGAACCAAGGAAGAACCAAAGAGACTATAGGAATGTTTCATTCAGGGGAGAAAGATCTATTGATTATATATATATATAATTTGTTTGTTCATAACATGGTAACAGGCTCACTATTTGTAGTAGTTTGTAACAAACACCTCTGTTTTGATGTGATGATTTTGTCAAGTAGTTATCAGGCTTACTCCTACTATACTAAAGTCCTTGAAGTCAGAGACTGTCTTACTCATCGTTTTATCCCTCCACGGCATCCAGTACACTGGCCTCTGTGCAATAGATGCTCAGTCATTGTTTATTAATTTAAATTTAGTTAAGCAAGTTTAGGACAAGTTGGCTTAGAAAAGAGTCTCAGATATATTAAGACAAAGTGCTAAAATTGACTTATGAGGGAAGGCTGGGTTTCTGTGTTTGTCAGTAAAATTGGTGCAGACCATCTTGTTGTCTGTGGAGACATGATCTAGGAAGTACTAGAAGCATTGATGGTGGAGAACTCCTCAGGAGTTACTTGTCCTGTTGCCTCCAGAAAGCTTGAATACTTGAGCATTTTTATTTTTATTATATTTCTTGATTCTTTTGATTAAAGAGACAAAATCCCATGCTTAAATAGACATCTTCAGCAAGAAAGTGTGGGGATCTAGTGAAGTCTTCACTAGCAGCCAACATCCCAGTCTGATATACACAGGGGCATCCATCTCATCGTTTATCCTATCTTTTTTCAGAACATGAGAGATATCTGCAAGCCAACAACAAAGAATTCAACAGTATTTTTGGATATCCGGTGAGTGTCATCCCTCTGGCTGTTTCAGAAGGGGGTCAGTATTCTCCTATAATATTCTTCTTTGTTGGGGGAGCGTGAAATTCTTTGTAGTTGTGGATCCTATAACACAGATTCTATTACACTTTCTTTCAAGCTCCTATACAATGCAATGAAGGCTCAGAAGCCAAAATTAATCTAGTGACATAAGCTAGGGAGAGAATGTCTTAGATTTCAGGTTTATATATAACTCCCAGAAAATAAATACTGTAGTTTTTCTTGCACAAATGAAAGCATAGTTCTACTTTTTTCACTTAGACATGTATCTGACAACACATACAGATATCCCTCATTTATTTAATAGCGACATTGTTTTCCATTATATTGATAAACCTGAATTTATTTAGTCAGTCTTCTATTGATGAACATTTAAATGTCTCCAGTGTTTTGCTATGCTAAATGGTGCTGAATGAACACCACTATACATATATTTTGGCACATTTGTGTGACTGTATCTTATGAAAGTTTCCTAAAAGTAAATTGTCTGTTTCAAAAGAAAAACACACTAAAAATTAAAAATTATCAGAGGCCAGATTGCCCCCCAAAAGAATTATATCCATTTATGTTTCTACTTAGAGACTGCCCGTTTCTCCACATTCCTGTCAAACTCATTATTATCAATCTTTGTCATCTTTGCCAGCTCTTAGATGAAAATGACATACATGTTAATTAGCCTTTTGTATTTCTTTTTCTGGAAAATACCTATTAATGATCTTTGCCCACTTCCTATTGAATTGTTCATTTTTCACTTATTTATGTGTCTATAACTAAGTAATTCATGAAAAGATATATATTGAAAAGGCATGCTCCAATACTCCATCCTTGTCCATATCTGCTCCCCTGAGGGAACCACTGTTAGTTTTCTTGTGTGTATTAATCAGATTAGTGTTTCTTTGTGCAAATAAAGCAAATACAAATATATAGTCTTATTTTCCTATTTTTACACTATTCTGAACCTTAACAGTATATCCTGGAGATGTTTTCATCATCATAATTTCATAATAGTTTTTTTCTTTTTTTTCCTTTTTCAGCTATAATATATAGTATTTCCTCTGCAGATTTAACATATTTTATTTAACCAGTTCCTTTTAAATGGACATTTGGGTTGTTTTCAATCTTCTATGATCACAAGCAATGGTTTTATACATAATATAATTCCATGCATGTGTAGCATAATATAATTCCATGCATGTGTAGCTATGTATACATATACATAGCTATAATTATATAAAAATATATGTCTGCGGTCTCTGTGGGATATTAGTTTATGATTTCTGAGTGAGAGTGGTATATTAGTCCAATCTCACACTGCTATAAATAACTACCTGAGACTGGGTAATTTATGAAGAAAAGAGGTTTAATTGACTCACAGTTCCTCAGGCATAACTGGAAGCATGACTGGGACGCCGCAGGAAACTTACAATCCTGGCAGAAGGCAAAGGGGAAGCAAGCACCTTTTTCACGTGGTGGCAGGAAAGAGAGAGAGAGTGAGGAGGATCCTATACTTTTAAATCATCAGATCTTGTGAGAACACAAGAATAGCATGAGGGAAAGCCGCCTCCATGATTCAGTCACCTCCTACCAGGTCCCTCCCCAACACTGGGAGTTACAATTCAACATGGTATTTGGGTGGGGGACACAGAGCCAAACCATATCAAATAGTTCTGGATAATAATAGTATCCAAGATATGACCATGAAAGCAGGTTTTTCTCTTCTCTATCTTCTAGACCTACGTAACAAGCAGTGGGGACAGTAAATCTAGGTTTGGGCATCAGACAGATCTGAGTTTGAATATAGCTCAGCCTTTACTAACCTTAATGTCTTAGGCAAGTTTGTTAACTTCTCTGATCTTCAGTTCTTTCATCTGTAAAATGGGCATAATAATGTTCACCTTGCATGGTGGTCGTAGGAGTTAAGTATGGTTCTGAAAATGTTAGTTCTGTTTCTCCAAAAAACTATTAGCCCTTGGAAAAAGGGTATCTCATTTATCTCTGTATACACAGTATATTTGTGATACAGTTTCTATCACAATGTTGTGCACACAGCCAACATTCAATAAATATATATTGAATATTGAATGAGTGAATGAACAGATCTGACTGATTCTGATATATTTAACACCATTTCATTTCCCTGGCCCTGAGCATTGCTCATTTTCCTATTTCTCTAACTTCTTCCACTGTGACTCCTTGTCATCTTCCTAACTCCTAACTACTGATTCTCATTATATCCTTGGCCTTTTATTCTCTTCTATTTTCCCAATTAACCTTCAGTCCCATATCACTGCCCAAAGAAAAAAATAACCAAACCAAAATTAACCACCTCTTATCATGTTTAAATTTTATCACCTCTGCCAAAAGGACTAAACTCTGAGGAACTTCATAGTTAAGGAGATGTTATTAGGATATTGCTTCTGGTTTTACATTTAAGAGCAAAATGAAACGCTCTAGTTGCCAAGTTAATAAATAAATACCTGTACTTCTATCTTGAGGCAGAATGCTACCTACGTGAGTAGAAACCTGAAATATATTAAATGGCTATAAAATCAAATGGAAAATCAACAGTGAAGGCTAGCTACATCAGTAAGGCCACCTCTCAGAAGATCTTTGGGTCCAAGTATCACAGCCATCTGGACTTAAACACTGAGAAATTCAAAGTATCTTATGATCAAAGAAAGCTATTTCCATGTTAGAATTACATACTCTCATGATGAGAAGGGCCTGTAGAGATCATTTTACTAGAACTTCGTTCAAGACAGACCATGAGCTTCTCCAGAAGGGATCCTGTCTAATTATTTTTCAGCCTCCACTAGTATAGTCCAGCATAAGGCTGTGAAAAGAGCAAGCCTTGAGAAATGCTATACTGTCTGATTGATTATTATTTGGAAAATCATGGAGAGAACACCAAGGAAATCTTAGTTTTGGCTTGGATCTCTAAACTCCTAAGTGCTAAGCTATTTGACCAGCTTCTCATCCCTAAGGAAATAGGTAGGTTCTTCTTTTAAAAAAAACAAAACAAACAAACTTGTATTTAAGTTCAGGGGCACATGTGCAGGATGTGCAGGTTTGTTACATAGGTAAGCCTGTGTCATGGGGATTTTTTGTACAGATTATTTAATCACCCAGGTATTAAGCCTAGTATCCATTAGTTATTTTTATTCTTTTGTTCTGTCCTTTTAAATGGAAGAGGTAGGAGATGAGCCCTGAACTTAGGGAATTATTTGGTCTTATTCTCCTGCTTTTAGAGCTCTTAGATTTGAGCTCTGACATCTTAGGACAAATGATTTAAGACTCCAAGGTAGAAAGTAAGATGGTCCTGTGAACATCTTGAGATCAGAATTGAGGAAGTAGACAAGTTCCCATTTTCACTGAGCAAAATAGTAGCTTAGATATAAGCCAAAACTCTTTAAATCCTCTTAGGACAATTAAGGGCCAAATGATTCTCCAATGCTGATAGTGACCCCTATAGAAACCTTCAGTGGGCTAGGATTGAAAGACAGTTTTTTGCTTTTAGCATCTGACGTCCTTCAACATTGCAAAAAACACAGAAAGGCACACCAAACTGAGTTTGCTCAGCTAAGAAAAGCTTTGTTAGAGAGCTCTGGATGCAGTACCTCAATTTCCTCATCCTCAAAAGTACCCCCTTCATAGGATTGTTGTGAGGAGTAAATGAGTTGCTACATATAAAATGCTAGAACAGTGCCTTTCACGAAGTAAGTACTCAATAAATGTAAGTTTTTATTGCTGTTGATTTGATTATCATTATTACTATCAATAACATCAATAAGCAAGAACTCTATCAGGGCAGAGATACATTCCCCCAAGTACCCAACAGTCTTGCCATCTTTCTACCTTCTAGGCCTCTCTAGGGGTAGACTGGGAAGTAGGCGCAGCTGCTTATCAACCCAGTTTTGAGCTGTCTTTTGTCTAATTGTGTATTTCTTGTTTATTTGTTTGTTTACTCACAGAACAATGCCATCAAGACCTCAAAATATAGTGTCTTTAATTTCCTGCCCCTGAACCTATTTGAACAGTTCCAGAGACTTGCAAATGCATATTTCCTCATTTTGCTATTTTTACAGGTATTGCTTTTGGGGGCCTTTTTCACAGAGTATTTTATAAACCTCTCTGGGGTCAGGCTGTGTAATCAGTTTTTCTCCTCCCTAAATTGGGAAATGTCTTCTCTCTTTAGACAACAGGAACGTGGATGGCTGGAGTCTCAGACCAGTCCCTTAGAATAGCTGTGGTCAGGATTAGCTAGTGTATAGCAAGCCTCTACACAAGGAAAGGGACAAGGTCACCACATCCCAAGGAAGGGGAGCTCCTCATCATGGCTGTATTGCCACAGTTCAGTTTGACCATAGGGGGCTACAGAATTCTTCACCCCAACCACAACTCCAACTCTATTCCTCCTTCTTGTCCCAGCCTCCTTGACATAAAATTAACATATGGGAGTGCTAAAGAAGGTTTAGAATGGTTTAGAATATGAGTGCCAGCATAAGAACAGGAAGCAGGGCAGGGTAGGCCCAAATTGGGAGACAGGGACAGGTCATCTCACTCCTCCTTGTACTGAAGGGTGTGGGAGAGCATGTAGTTTTTCTGTATCTACTTTTACCCACTCTCCATACCCATTACTTTTCACTGTCAAAGGAGAAATGGGTCTTTGCCATCAACACAAAGGTAGTGGGGTTCAGGATAGATAGGTAGCAACTTATAGCCTTTTATTCTTTTATCCTCCCTTGGGAAATGTTTACTTATATTTGGGGGGTTATATGAAAGATACAACAGTGGAAAGCAACTAGGATAGTTGGATTTAGTATGAACAAATGGAGGTGAAAATGATGTTGAGGGTGAGGGATGTGGTGGGGGGGAATGTATTATCCTTTCAGTTTTCTGACCCAAGATCCTCTCCCTTTCCCTCTCTTAGTTGATTCCCCAGATCTCCTCCTTGACATGGTATACAACTATAACACCCCTGATGGTGGTGCTGTCCATTAACAGCTGTGAAAGATGCCATCGATGACCTGGTGAAGTAGCTTCCTGGGCCTCTACTTCCTCACTGCACCTAGTCAGACTGTGGGCATGAAGGACTTCCCAGAACTACCTAGTGCTAACAAGAAACCCTGAATGGAAAGAGATATTTCCTTTCTTCTTTCCTTATTCATCCCAGAGTAATATGCAGTACCTTTAGGCCCAAGATTGGTGGTCTGTGTATGGCCAGAAAGGGGCAAAACAAGGCCTTTCTCTATCTTCCTACTGCCACCACTTTTAGCCCCTCTCCTGAGCCTCCTTCCATCTTTAATAACCCACTCTTTCTTTACTCCTCTCTTAGCTTTTTCTAGCTTTGTTCTCATCCTTTTTCCTCTGCTCCTCCTTCTCCTACTCTATATTCCCTTTGCCTTCCTCTATCTGCCCCTGCTCCATCTCTCCTATTCTTTCTCTTTCTTCTCTCCACATTTCCTGTCTCCTCTCGAACTCTATTTTCCTTTCCAACTTTCAATTCTGTTAAGTGTGCACAGCTAGGAACCCTCTGTCCTGGCTTTGAAAGAGAAACTGGCTCACAGTGAGTGCTGCATGGCTTCCTCTTTGCCTCTTACAGCAGGCCCAGCATAGAGGGGTGAGAGTAAGGACCCAGTACCATGCCTACTAGTAGGATTTGGAAAGCCAGTCCTATAGACCTGCTTGCAGTTTCCCTAAGAGGGTCTTTCTGATTTTGCCAGAATAGATTTTTAGCCTAGTTTGAGAGCACCTTGTTTCCTCAGCACTTTATCTCTATAAACCCAGGATTAGCATGTTGTGGTTTACCTTTCAGTCACAACTTAGATGTACGAAAATATAACTTTATTTCTCTATAACTGAACTCAGTTTAGCTTATAACCACATGCATACCCCATCTTAACTCTCTCCAGTGAGAACCAAAAATTAATTTACCAATTCATGGTAACCCAATTACTTCTGGCTTAGAATTCAGTCTCTTTATGATAAATATTTGGACAATTTTGAATTCTGACAAATTCAGGATTCTCTCTGCCCCACTCCCAGTCCTACCCTTTACTCAGGGAGTAATCTCAACTGGAAGGAAGATATTTATGTGAATCCTGGCATCAGGACATAGCCTCTATTTGTTTCCCTTCTATTTGATCTTTAAATATTGGCCTCTTTCCTCAGCCACTATAGAAGCTTCTGTATGTCAACCATGGTTGGAGGTAGGGTAGGAGTCTGCTTGAGAATACTCAGCTTTCCCAGCACCTACCCAGGCAGACAGAATTCTGTAGCCCTGCCCATCATTTGGATTGTGTCCTCTGCAGCTTTTGATATGTTATTCTCATTCCTCCAGGTTTTTTGCTTTTGATATTTAAAACTAAAATTTTGTCTCTTTCTTCTCCCTGGATTCTTTTCCTGCCCTCTCTTCCCAGCTTCCCAGAGATAATCAACCTCTTGGCCTAGTTTGAAGGAAAGAAGGGCTTGGGACAGGGGAAAAGGAGAATTACAAAGAAGGGAACTACATTGTGTAATATTTCAAAATGTTAATCTTCTATATGCAGTTTGTTATAGGTCTATTTCCTGAACATTTTCTTGTGTGATTTTAGAAAAGGCATCAAAGTGACGATCGAGTCAACAACCAGCCTGTTCTGCTACTGGTGAATGGCAAGTAAGTTCTTCTAGAGAAGCTGGTTTAGGTAGGACCAGTCCTGAAAAAGGGTTGGGTTTAGCTCAGGACAATGAAAAGAACCTCAGACATAGAAATAATTTGTTTCTAGATCTAGCATGCCCTGAATTTGTCATGTCACCTCAGATATCTATGTGGGCCTCATTTTTCTTTTTTATAAGATAGAAATAATATTCTCTACCTTAGAGGATGCTTGTGAAAATAGAAAGGAAATAATATATATTAAAGCAATTAATATTTTATAACATGATATTACTATGCAAGTGATATTATTAGTGTGGTAGTTAGCATGGAAACATCTGTCTTTAGAACATTAATGGATTCTGACATGGTTTTTGTCCATTCTACTATAGCCTTTGGTCAGGTCATCTTTTCTGTTAAAAATCTAAACAGAGTATTGATGTTGGCCCCACTGCTGTAGTGTTTGGTCATAGCTATCTAAAGTGTTGCAGGAATGGAAGAAGGCAGGCATATTCCTATGTAAGGCAAAATATGAAGACTATCCTAAGAGGTACAAAAAATTACTATGGGAATTAATAAAAATATGCAATTATAACTGGTTAAAGGAATCAAGGAAGACTTTCTGGAAGAGGTGTAGTGTTTGTACTAGGCCTTAAGGGAAGGGGAAGAATTCAACAAGTAGAGATTGTGTTAAAGGAAAAGTGACCAGTGTGGGCAGAAGCATGATTGCAAGAAAGTGCAAACCTGAAGGAGTTCAGGATTGAGGTCCAGCCTTTATCATGGTGGCCTTACTGAACACCCAATAGCTATAGTATTTATCATATAATTCTATCATCTCAAGAGCTTGGGCAGCTAATCCTGTTGTGTATTTTGTCTGCTGATTCTTACACACGATGGATTGTTTCCTCAAGAGTTTTGACCTGTTGAAATGTCCCATAAGATACCGCCAAAAAAGTCAGTTGTAGTTAAAAAGAAAAGTAGAGGCCGGGCGCGGTGGCTCACGCCTGTAATCCCAGCACTTTGGGAGGCCGAGGCGGGCAGATCACAAGGTCAGGAGATCGAGACCATCCCGGCTAAAACGGTGAAACCCCATCTCTACTAAAAATACAAAAAATTAGCCGGGCGTAGTGGCGGGCGCCTGTAGTCCCAGCTACTTAGGAGGCTGAGGCAGGAGAATGGCGTGAACCCGGGAGGCGGAGCTTGCAGTGAGCCGAGATCCCGCCACTGCACTCCAGCCTGGGCGACAGAGAGAGACTCCGTCTCAAAAAAAAAAAAAAAAAAAAAAAAAGGAAAGTAGAGAAATAGAAATAAAAAGAAAAGACAAAACTGAGTATATTAGGAATTGCTGACCAAAAGGATTTAGTCAAATGAACTCACCCAAGTAGCTTGAGCACTTGGGTTTTATAAGATTATTGAAGAATTTGTCACAGAGGGATTTTAAGGTGGGAGTTAACAGGCAAGGCCCTGGTTAGACTTTGTAAGCTACCGAGTATCTGATTAGATTAATATGCAGAGGTGAGGTTGGTTGTTGAAACAGTCTGTGTTCCAGAAAACAGCTTTCTTTTTGTAGAACACATGGGTATAAACAGAGCTGCTATTTTAAAAGTTTGTCTATTTTATAAGCTGTAATTTTTGTCATTTTTCATTTCTCAATAATTTTGTTTACAAACACATCATTAGTAGAACTTTAAGGGAATTCTAAGTGGCTGGAGGAGAGGTTGTGTCCCTCTATAAGGGTTTGTGTTTGTTTCTGTGAGTTGACTCAAGGGTATTACCTGCTGATACCTAATTTGAAAGAAGTATAAATTTGAGCCCCATCCAATATGAGGTTACAGATTTTCAGGGAAGAGTCCTCCATTCACTGACCCCCACAACCCTCCAGACTAAGATAGACAAACTTTCTTGCCAGTGAGCCGATTTTTTTTAGACCACTCTTTCACTAATGGTGTTGCCCCTCAAGGGTCCTGACTTTATGAGAAATTCTTAGTTTCAACTCACTGACTCTCAAAATCATAAGGCTTTATCTCTTGTCCCTCTGGTGGGAGAAATTGAAATTCAAATTATTAGATTATTAAGACTGGCAATCCCTCCCCAACCCAAGGCAAGAACAGCTTCAGAACATGCTTACTGTTTTGGACTACAGGATTGAGTATTTTAAATCAGTAAGGAATGTCTTCACCTCTCCCAAATCTGGGACACATGATTGTTATAATGTCCAGGAACAAATTGGTAATAGTTTGGCAGCTCCTTATGTAAGAAATTATTAATTTTTATATCTCCAGGAGAAGCTAGAATGTGACAGCACTTGTTCTTCTTTATGTTTTACTGGTGACAACCGTGGAAGATAGAATGCCAGAGTAACAGTGAATGTCAAGTCAAGGCAAAATAAAACAAAGACCCAGATGTCTGTCTCCAAGGCTTATAGCTACTATTCTACAGTACTATCAGAAAATTCTTTAAAAGAAACAGTGGATTTATATAAAAGGACTTTTTTGGAAAATTTGGCCCTCCTCAAAGCAGCTGTCTTCTTAGGAAAGGTGTTCTAGGAATACCCATGCCTATGTGTAGCTGGCAAAGTGGTGATGTATGTCATGCCCTGCAGATAGCAATCCTGCATTCAGAGACAAAACAGACAGTGGACTGTAGACTTTTTCCCGCTCTTTGGGTGCTTGGCATAATATAACTGTTGCAAGGATATAGCTCATGTTTCCAAAATGCTTGTGGCAATATGTACATTCTTCTTAGTCCTTTCTCAGAGAGGAAGGATTTATGGACCCTGTGTATTTGGGGAAATTGAGGTTAAAAAAAAAAAAAAAAGAGGAGGGCAGAGAACCACCATTATTGTAGAATCTGCTCATATTGCCAGGCTGCCTTTTATGGAAAGTAGGGATTTGAGGATCAAAGATAATCTAATTTTAACCTAAGTAGATAAAGGCCAGGCGCAGTGGCTCACACCTGTAATCCTAGCACTTTGGGAGGCTGAGGCAGGCGGATCACGAGGTCAGGAGTTCGAGACCAGCCTGGCTAACATGGTGAAACCTCATCTCTACTAAAAATACAAAAATTAGCTGGGTGTGGTGGTACAAGCCTGTAGTCCCAGCTATTCGGGAGGCTGAGGCAGAAGAATCACTTGAACCCAGGAGGCAGAGGTTGTAGTGAGCTGAGATCATGCCACTGTACTCCAGCCTGGGAGACAGAGCGAGACTGTGTCTCAAAAAAAACAAAACGTAAGTAGATAAAATTGATGTGACCTTATGACAGAACACATTTAAGCTATCAAAAAGAATGAGCTACATCTTCTATAAGTGCTCTCCAAGATGGATTGTTAAATGAAAAATGCAAAGTGCAGAAAATTATGTATCTAGTACGTGGCTTTTAAATGTGATTTAGATGTGTATTATATGTGATTACATGGATTGGTATTTTCTAGAAATAAATACAAAAATATTATTAACAGCAGCTATCTTTGGGGAGCAAAACTAAAGGCTGGAAATAGAAAAGACTTTAATTTTTCCTTTTACACACTTTACCATTGGAACTATTTTACTTTAAAAACCTTTTTTTTTTTAATGTTTTTGAGGCAGGGCCTTGCTGTATTGCTCAGGCTGGTCTCGAACTGCTGGCCTCAAGCAATCCTCCCACTCAGCCTCCCAAAGTGCTAGGATTACAGGAATGAGCCACGAGACCTGGCTAAAAAAAAAAAAAAAAAAAAAAAAAAATTTATGTGCTTATATGTCTACAGGTACTTTTGTAGGGCTTTAGAACCCTTATAGCCTGAAGTCAAGAGAAATGGGCCCCACTCTTGATTGCAGCAAGGATGCATCACAGAACAGTTTGAGCCTTGTCTTTATTCCTTTCAGCCTTTTTTGGAGGGTGGGGAATCATCTTGATTGTCAAAGCAGAGCCTTGGGGAAATTCTCAGAGCAGATATTCAAGGGTCATTTTCTTACAGGATAAAGGAGGACAAATGGATGAATGTTCAAGTGGGAGATATAATAAAACTAGAAAATAATCAGCCTGTCATGGTGAGTACCTCTTTTGGCTGTGACTTGTTCTTTTTTGGATTGAGTGGGTACCAGGGACTCTTGGAGCACTTCTGCTACCACTCCTTTTGGTGACCTTTGTTGCCCATTTTGCATCAGAAATCAACAGCTCTTGCAGTAAGAAGCTTGTTCTTGCCTATTTCTCACTGTAGTTACAGGGAAAGTGTGAGTAGCTTTGGGAGAGGGTGTATGATAGCAGTGAAAGAAAGTAAATCAGTGTCTGTAAAATGCTTAGGTTGAACATCTGTTCCTAAGGTGACTGCTTTTGTCACACTGTAATGTTAACAGCCCACCTTCCTGCTTTCCTGACTTTTTTTGACTTTTCTGACTACAGGCAGATATACTATTACTCTCTAGCAGTGAGCCATATAGTCTGACATACATAGAGACAGCAGACCTGGATGGGTAAGTGTTCCCTCCTGATGCTCCATTAAGATGATTTAGCCAGCTTAGAGTGGTCTCTCACTGAGGGACAGCATTAGGCAGGGAATTAATTTTATTCTCAGATGGAATATTGAATAGGTGAGCCAGAGAGCCTAGAAATATCCAGATAAGAGAAGATGGACACCACATCGTTGGGACCCTCAAGTCTAAGACTGAGCTCTTGACAGGAACAATTGAGCATTCACTGGGCACAGAATAGGGCAAATAAACCCCACATTCTCCATCTCTAAATTGGAGACACTCTGGCCATATTCTATAAGGCTGAGTAGCAGGAAAGAGGATAACAGAACTGTAACATTTCAGAGTACAGTTTCAAAGTTTCCAAGGGAAAAAATGTGAATATAAACATATCTATTCACTGATAAAATACCATGTTCTATAAAGGATTTAAGGTAGACATTTATTAACATCCAAAAGCTAAGGTCTTAGGAGGATAGAGCCATCTGCAGAAAGCTTATCCTGGAGAGTTTTGTATTGATCTTCATTCCTACAACTGTACTTCTTGATGCACACAATTTTTTGAAACATGGATTCCATTTTTCTTTTTGTCTATGCATTCCAGCAAGCAGTTACTTAAGAGCCTGTCATGGGCCCCATAAATATTTATGAGGTGTGGAGTATGTTTCCTCGGAGGTATGTGCAAGTTTTTACCAGGATCTGCTCCTTATTCTTTTTTTAAAAAATTAAATTTAATTAAAAAAAATAGAGACAGGGTCTCGCTGTGTTGTCCAGGCTGGCCTTGAACTCCTGAGCTCAAGTGATCCTCCCGCCTTGGCCTTCCAAACTGCTAGGATCACAGGCGTGAGCAACCATGTCTGGCCATACTCCTTATTCTTTTTTTTTTTTTTTTTTTTTTTTTTTTTTGAGATGGAGTCTAGCTCTGTTCCCCAGGCTGGAGTACAGTGGTGCAGTCTCGGCTCACTGCAAGCTCCGCCTCCCAGGTTCATGCCATTCTCCTGCCTCAGCCTCCCTAGTAGCTGAGACTACAGGCGCCCACCACCACGCCCAGCTAATTTTTTGTATTTTTAGTAGAGACAGGGTTTCACTGTGTTAGCCAGGATGGTCTCGATCTCCTGACCTCGTGATCCGCCCACCTCGGCCTCCCAAAGTGCTGGGATTACAGGCATACTCCTTATTCTTGAAGGGAGCAGGTACTATCTCCAGGTTGTTTATGATGTTTCTTCAGCCTCTCTAGAGCACCTGACCAGCTAGATCTCATGAGTTGATTAAGTAGTGGCAGTGTGTTGCAGAGAGTGAGAGGAAAGAGACGGGAGTGAGTGAGCTAACACTCAGCTTCCTTGAAGAGCCATCTCACCTCAATACTGAGAGAGAAGCAGTGGGAGTGACTTTTACAGCTCAGACTCATAGCCCAGTCTCTACTGGTAACATCTATTTTCTAAAACCCCATGAAAAAGTAGGAGATACTGCACCCGTACAACAGTTCTGTTTGTGTCCTGTACAGTGGTCACTTGTCTTTTACTCTAGTGAAACCAACCTGAAAGTGAAGCAGGCCATCTCAGTTACCAGTGACATGGAAGATCGCCTGGAGCTTCTGTCTACCTTTAATGGTGAGTTAGGAAATGGGTTTTCCTACCTAAATTTTCATCAGTAGAGTACTGGTTAAATAAAGTATGGTACATCCATAGTGATTTCTATACAACTTATTACAACAATATGCAAGTTGATATTTATTGAAATATAAAAAATACAACATGTAATTAAAAGAAAAATACAATTTACAAAAGACTGCATAGTGTATATAACATAAACCTGTTTTTGGAAATATAGGTATGTTTATGAGTACTTACATAGAAAAAACATAGAAGGATGTACTTCAAAAGGTAAATAGCACTTTTCTCAAGACAGTGAATGAATTTTACTTCCTTCTTTACCATTTTAGTATTACTTAAACATTTACAAAGGGCATATTTACTTTACTAATCAGGAAAATGTCAAGTTGTTTCCATTTTGAAAAAAAATACTAGGTTCGCTTTGAGTCGTTTTTGAGTTTCTTCAGATTCAGAGCTCTTATGATCTGGCAGTACTGATGTCACCATCATGTGGGGTTTTCTCTCTCTCTGGATGATCCATGTCACATACAGAATTATTCTTCTTTAGTTCCCAGAAACCTTTGTCTGCCTTTCTTGAAGGAGCTGGTGAGAAATGGGCAGTAACTGAGAGAGGATAGGAAAAAGATGTGTATGTATTTTGAAAGAAGAATTTTATTTCCTCCTTTCTATTAAGTCTCCTTTCATCCTTAGGAAAAGCCTAAGATTAGAGATCCAGAACTCTTACACCTTCATTTTTCTGCAGGAGAAGTGAGATGTGAGGCTCCCAATAACAAATTGGACAAATTCTCAGGAATACTGACCTATAAGGGGAAAAACTACTTCCTGGACCATGACAAGCTGCTACTCTGAGGCTGCAACATCAGGAATACAGATTGGTGCTATGGCTTGGTGATCTACACTGGTACGTTTCCCTTGGCCCCCAGCCTGCTAAATTCCATTCATGGCTGAGCTATGGGTACTTAGTTTTCAGGATGTGGATATGACACTCAGATATATTTCAGAACACTATGGTTTTGAGATAGATAGGCAGGTAGAAGGATGGATGGATGGATGGATGGGAGATTTGTGGGAAAAAACCTTGTTTCTTAGGGAAAAAAAGTGCCTTCTGTTTCCAAGCAATGAACTTCCAACATATCGGTTCTACCTTTGTTAGAGGAAGGCATTGTGTTCCAAAACCACAGGGCATCCATGAGTCTCTTTAACAAGATCTGGACACAGGAGAGGGTATACATACAGAGGAAGTATGATAGAATTACCATGTGAAGGGGGAGAGTATACATATGAACTATTCCCATGAAGAGAGGATGGACACAATGCTTATTATAGAGAAAAATATAATGTAAAAAGTTCATGCCACAGAAAAGTCACATATGGATCATTAATAGTGGCCCCTCTTGAGATGTTATTTAGAACCACAATTCATTATATTTAGTAAGAGATTTTCTTGGGTTATGATGTGGTTCAGGAAAATGGAGGAAGCCTCTGTGCTGCCCCATTCTCTCAGTGACAACAACCATAGTAGGAAATATCAAGAAAGATTTACCACAGTGAATATTATTCAACTCAGATTCCCAGAGCTCCCCTTCTAGAGCATCTACTCCTAGACATGAGGCTTTTAGACTCCTTGCTTCTGTGAAAAGTAATGAGACCAAATCCCTAGGGAGAAGCTTAAGCGTCTAGGGAGGCCCTGGTGGAACTTCCTTCATTGGTTCTTGATCTAGAGTGGCAATGACTAGGCTACCTAATTCCCAAACTCAAAAGACTTAAATTAGACTTACTTTCTTCACTGTATGTACTTCAGCAGCTACTCACACACAATTGCCACTCATAAAAGCTCATTTTTCAGCGAAAGGTTTTTTTCCTGAAAGCAATAACAGTGGGGCTGCCAACCAGCACAAATGTAGTTAAGTTTTCCCAAGGTTGGTTACATGGTAGTGAGTATCTTTGGGAAGCTCTGAGCAGAGAACTAATGCCACCTAAAAGCATTTTGAGGTGTTTGCATGGAATTGAGTTGCTGTTCCTGCTACATGATGTCCAAGTTCTGTGATGATTTCTACCTTCTTCCTGAAGCCTGGGGTAAGGTCAGTCTAAGGACCCTTAGAAGATATGGTCCCTGTAGCTTCCAGGCTATGAGCCAAACTTCTCATATCTTGAAGCCCTTCAAGGAATGCTTAAGAGGAAAGAATGTCATAGCTTATGCTCTGCACTCCCACTGTTTGCCCACATATCAGAGATGTCCCAGCTCCCCATGTGTAAACATTGATGAAATTCCTTTTTCTGTCCTTTATCAGAACACATGTTAGAATAATGGTCAGATGGTGAAAGGCCAGAGAAATTATTGCTTACAGTTTCTTCTAAACCTCTTACATTTTCTCTGGAGCCATAGCTCGAATTAGTAATTTCCAGCTCTAGTCCCATTGGCCATTAAAAGCTCCTTACTTCTGCCTACCATCTGTCCTGTCATGAAGAAACATGGAATCTCTGTCTCTCAGCTCCAGAGGAGTCTCAGCTCCCCTGCTTCCACCTCAGAAGAAATCACTGCCATTGCCTTTTCGTTTCTTCCATTCCGAGTTAGAAACTTTCAGTATAGCCTGAGCCAGCAGTGAGCTTTCTCAAAAGATGATGGGGATCTCTTTATCAGAAAATTCCTTCTCTAAGCTAAATAAACCAGATGGTGATAAGAGAGAAGCTTGCAACTCCTCTTCTAATTTAACGCATCTATGAAAGTTGAGACTGTCTGAGGTGCTACAAAGAGAGGGATCTGCATGAATGTACTTTACAGAAGTCATTGGAACTATCCTTAGAAAAAATTTTCCGTTTTTTGAGTTATTGAAAACCGTGAGCCTTTCTCTAGGGCTTTATCCTCTAGCATTGGAAAGTGGTTAGATTAGATTATCATAAAGGTACAGTTCAGCCAATTCCAAGCCTCTGAGTATATTCAGTGATTCTAATATCTGATATCTTCCTGTTTTATTTAGGGCCAGATACCAAATTAATGCAGAATAGTGGAAAGTCCACTTTTAAACGAACACAGATAGACCATCTCATGAATGTCCTTGTACTCTGGGTAAGTTAAATACTTTTTTTTCTTTGTTTCTTTACAAATAGACATACTTCCCTTCCTTTCACAGGAGAAATGGTATTTCCAGTTCAGAATTTAGCTGTTTGAAAGTCTCAAGCACAGCTTCAAGTGAAGTTAATCTGAGGTGAAGCAAACAGAAAATTGTGGAGGTTTTGTTGGTGTGCAATGGAGGAACATGGCTCAAGAAACTAATCACAGCCAAGTACCTATGCTTTGTTCCACTGGCTGCGGATTTTATGGAAACCCTCGTACAAATGGCACGTGTTCAGTATGCTATAAAGAACATCTTCAAAGACTGAATAGTAGTAATGGTAGAATAAGCCAACCTGCAACCTCTGAATCTTTACCAGTTCAATGCACAGATGGCAGTGTCCCAGAAGCCCAGTCAACATTAGACTCTACATCTTCATCTATGCAGCCAAGCCCTGTATCAAATCAGTCACTTTTATCAGAATCTGTAGCATCTTCTCAATTGGACAGTACATCTGTGGACAAGCAGTACCTGAAACAGAAGATCTGCAGGCTTCAGTATCAGACATGGCACAGCAGCCATCTGAAGAGCAAAGCAAGTCTCTTGAAAAACCAAAACAAAAAAAGAATCTCTGTTTCATGTGCAGGAAGAAAGTGGGACTTACTAGGTTTGAATGCGGTGTAGAAATGTTTACTGTGGTGTACACTGTTACTCAGATCTACACAATTGCTCTTAAAATTACAAAGCTGATGCCGCTGAGAAAATCAGAAAAGAAAATCCAGTAGTTGTTGGCGAGAAGATCCAAAAGATTTGAACTCCTGCTGGAATACAAAATTCTTGATCATCTGCAAACTAAAAATTGACTTGAGGTTTTTTTTTCCCTAGTCATTGGGAAAGTAGAGCAGTGTATCTTGCATGTCATCGGATGAATAGATTTTTGTTTTGATTTTGTTTTGAAAATGACTCTGAACATTTATTTCCATTGCAATTTCTGTGGCTGAGAAGACTTAAACTTTACAAGTATTATCCTTATAAGATCATTTTAATTTTAGTTGAGTGCAGAGGGCTTTTATAACAAACGTGCAGAAATTTTGGTGGACTGTGATTTTTCCAGTATTAAATATGCATGCATTAATCTTGCAGTTTATTTTCTCATTGTGTACATATATATTGCTTTTCTTTGCAGCACGATTTCTCTTTTGATAATGCCCTTTGGGGCACAACTAGTTATCGGTAACTGAATGTATCTTAATCATTATGGCTGCTTCTGTTTTTTCATTAACAAAGGTTATTCATATGTTAGCATATAGTTTCTTTGCACCCACTATTTATGTCTGAATCATTTGTCACGAGAGTGTGTGCTGATGAGATTCTAAGTTTGTGTGTTTAAACTTTTTTTTGAGCGAGGGAAGAAAAAGCTGTATGCATTTCATTGCTGTCTACAGGTTTCTTTCAGATTATGTTCATGGGTTTGTGTGTATACGATATGAAGAATGATCTGAAGTAATTGTGCTGTATTTATGTTTATTCACCAGTCTTTGATTAAATAAAAAGGAAAACCAGAAAAAAAAAGTCTCAAGCAGTCTTAGGATCCCAGAGATTAAGATCTGAGGCAGAAAAGAACAGACAAATTACAAGAGAGTCTAGCTTACGCCTGTTAGGAAGAATAGTCACAAAGTGTTTAAAAAGATATCATGCTTTGATTAGTGGTACAAGAATGGATCAAGGACCCAGTTTAGAAATTAAGACATATTTTTATTTTCTCATAATCAGTTTTACTCATGACCACTTTAATAAAACCTTACTTAGACTAATAGAACACCTTGTTTGAACTGATGATTTTCAAACTCTTTTCTTAGAGGAGTCTTAAGGTCTGGTGCAGTGGGAATAGGGAAGATCAAGTGGATTTTATTCTATCCTCCTCATTTTGAAGTTCTTGCTTTAAAAAGAACAGCTTCATGTTTATCTATTTTATGAAATTTCAGTTGTAAAAATAGAAGGGGGTTCTATTAAGAAGTGAAATTTGAAAAGCACTGCAATATATAATAATCAGCTTTGATAATAGATGTTTAAATTGAAGACTAGTTAATAAATTATTTCTATGCTGTCTGATATAAGCTGCCTTTATTCTTATTAGTTATAGACAGATTAATTTCCTCTCTTAAACAGCTTCTTTGCATAGCTGAGCAGTTCCTGTAATGCCTACACTTGATCTCATAACTTTTCATGTTTATTTTTACTCTATTATTTAGACTCTGAAAACTCAAAAAAAAACCTTTTCTTTGTACACTCTTATCATTAATATCTGAATTATAAACTGCCTTTTTTCTTTATTATGGGAAACATCCCAGATCCTTTTCAAAATCCTTTGGATCTAGCAAAAGGGGTTTTAGAAAATTAGGAAGGTTCATTCAGCTCAGAATCTAGTATTCGTTCATTATACTTCTCTTTCTATTATGGAGTAAGTAGTTTTCAGCAGTTGATCAAAGTTCCATTTCCTAGTTTCTTAATGAAGAAGACAATCATGGTCAAGAATTAAGGAAGGTAACATGGGCAAATATGCTTTTGACAACATTAGCAACATACATCATTAGACAGTAAGCTAGGTCATTTAGCCTAGGCTTGTCTTCAAAACAGGATGTCTTCAAATGGGTGTGATGGCACACACCTGTAATCCCAGCAGGTTGGGAGGCCGAGGCAGGAGGATTGTTCAAGCCTGGAAGTTTGAGAGCAGCCTGGGAAACAGTGAGACCCCATCTCTATAAAAAACAACAACGAAACACAAAAACACAGGTGGAACAAGATGGCTGAATAGAAGTCTTTATTAATCACCCCCCCCACACACACTCCCACAAAAACACCAAATTTAACAACTATCCACATATAAAAGTACCTTCATAAGAAACAAAAATGAGTCGAACAATCACAATACCTGGTTTTAACATCATATCACCAAAAGAAGCATTGAAGACAATCTTGAATTGCTGATGCCACCATTCCCCCATCTCCTGGTGGCCATGCATGGTGCAGAGAACTTGTAAGCTTTGGGGAGGGAGAGCACAGCAATTGTGGAACCCTGCATTGAACTCAGTGCTGTTCTGTCATAGTGGAAAGCAAAACCAAGCTGAACTCTGCTGACACCCACCCATAGAGGGAGCATTTAGACCAACCCTAGCCAGAAGGGAATCGCCCATCCCAGCAGTCAGAACTTCAGTTTCGTCAAGCCTCACCACCTTGGGCTAAAGTGCTCTGGGGTCCTAAACAAGCTTGAAAGCAGTCTAGGCCACAAAGACTGCCATTCCTAGGCAAGCCCTAGTGCTGTACTGAGCTCAGAGCCAGTGGACATAGGGGGTCGGGGTGGGTGCACACAACCTAGTGAAACACCAGCCAGAGCAGAGAAGGGAGTGCTAATGCTACCCCTCCCACAACCCCAGGCAGCACAGCTTGCAGTAACAAAAGTGACTCCTTTCTTCTGCATGAGGAGATGGAAGAGTAAAGAGGCCTTTGTCTTGCAAATTGGAGACCAGGTCAGCCACAGTACCATAGGGCAGTGGACAGAGTCACGAGGCCCCCATTCTAGGCCCTAGCTCCCAGACAGCATATCTAGATACACCCTGGACCAGAAGGAAACCTGCTGCCTTCAAAGGAAGGACCCAGTCCTGGCAGGTTCATCACCTGCTGACTAAAGAGCCCTTGGGCCCTAAAGAACCAGCAACGATACCCAGGTAGTACATTGTGAGCCTTAGGTGAGACTGTAGAGTGGCAGCATCTAGACGTGCTGGCTTCAGGTGAGACCCAGCACATTCCCAGCCGTGGTGGCTATGGTGAGAGACTTCTGTTTGAGAAAAACAGAGGGAAAGGTAAAAAGGACTTTGTCTTACAGCTTAGGTACCAACTCAGCCACAGTGGGGTAGAACATCACGTGGGTCCTTGGTGCCCCTGATTCCAGCCTTGGCTCTTGGATGGCATTTCTGGACCTGCCTTGAGCCAGATGGGAGCCCACTTCCCTGAAGGGTGAGTCCCATGACTGACAGTATTCAACACAAGCTGATTAAGCCCTTGGGCCTTAAGTGAACATTGGTGGTAGCCTGGCAGTACCCTCTATAGGTCTTTGATGGTGGCCATGGGCACTGGCTCCTTTGCCTGTGGAAATGGGAGGGAAGAGTGGGAAGGACTTTGTCTTATGGTTTAAGGGTCAGCTCAGCCATAGTAGAATACAGTACCAGGTAGACTTCTAAGGTTTTTGACTTCAGTCCCTGGCTCCCAGGCTGCATCTCCGGACACCCCAGGGGCTGAGGAAATTTGCTGCACTAAAGGAAAGGACATAAGCCTGGCTGGCTTCACCATCTGCTGATTGTGGAACCCTGGGGCTTGAAGTGAACATAGGCAGTTGCCAGGTAGTGGTCACAGCGGGCCTTGGATGAGACCCAGTGCTGTGCTGACTTCAGGTGTGACTCAGCACAGTCCCAGTGGTGGTAGCCTCAGAGTTGCTTGTGTCACCCCACACACAGCTCTAGGTGGCTTGGCACAGAGATAGACTAAATCTGTTAGGGAGAAAGGAAAGAGAACAAGAGTTTCTGCCTGGTAATCCAGAGAATTCTTCCAGATTTATTCAAGACCACCAAGGTGATACTTCTATGAGTCTGCAAGAACTGCAGCATTATTGGGCTCTGGGTGCCCTCTAATGCAGATATGGCTTAGATCACAACACCCAAGTCCTTTCACATACCTGTAAAGCCTTCCCAAGAAAGATAGGTAAAAAGAAGCCCAGGCTGCAAAGACTATACAAACAATTAATAACTAACTCTTCAATGCCCAGACACCAACAAACATCCATAAGCATCAAGACCATTCAGGAAAACATGACCTCACCAAACAAACTAAATAAGGCACCAGGGACCAATCATGGAGAAACTGAGATATGTCACCTTTCAGACAGATAATTCAAAATAGCTGTTTTGAAGAAACGCAAAGAAATTCAAGATAACAGGAAGGAATTCAGAATTATATCACATAAATTTAACAAAGAGGCTGAAATAGTTAAAAAGAATTAAACAGAAATTCTAGAGTTGAAAAATATAATTGACATATTGAAGAATGCATCAGAGTATTTTAATAGCAGAATTGATCAAGCAGAAGAAAGAATTAGTGAGCTTGAAGACAGGCTATTTGAAGATACCCAGAGAAGACAAAAGAAAAAAAAATGAAGCATTCATACAAGGTCTAGAAAATAACCTTAAAAGGGCAAATCTGGCCAGGTGCAGTGGCTCACGCTTGTAATCCCAGCACTTTGGGAGGCCGAAGTGGGCAGATCACGAGGTCAAGAGCTCGAGCCCATCCTGGCTAACATGGTGAAACCCCGTCTCTACTAAAAATACAAAAAATTAGCTGGGCTTGGTGGCGGGTGCCTGTAGTACCAGCTATTTGGGAGGCTGAGGCAGGAGAATGGCGTGAACCCGGGAGGTGGAGTTTGCGGTGAGCTGAGATCGCACCACGGCACTCCAGCCTGGGTGACGGAGCGAGACTCCGTTTCAAAAAAAAAAAAAAAAAAAAAAAAAAAGGCACATCTGAGAGTTATTGGCCTTAAACAGGAGATACAGAAAGAGATATGGGTAGAAAGTTTATTCAAAGGGATAACAGGGAACTTCCCAAATGTAGAAGAAGGTATTAATATCTGAGTATAAGAAGGTTTAGAACACCAAACAAATTTAACCCAAAAAAGACTACCTCAGGCATTTAATAATCAAACTCCCAAAGGTCAAGGATAAACAAAGGATTCTAAAAGCAG
The DNA here is from genome assembly GCF_000001405.40 of Homo sapiens. Lineage (NCBI taxonomy): Eukaryota > Metazoa > Chordata > Mammalia > Primates > Hominidae > Homo > Homo sapiens. Next base: position 35,455,332 of record NC_000009.12, read on the forward strand.
CAAGAGAAAAGAAACAGATAACATACAATGGAGCTCCAGTACTTCAGGCAGCTGACTTTTGAGTGGAAACATTACAGGTCAGGAGTGTTATATATAAAGTTTTGGTACCACAAAGAAATAGCACTCAAATATAAAATTTTCTTTTTAATTCTCAGCAAGGCAAGTTACTTCTATATAGAAGGGTGCGCCCTTACAGATGGAACAATGGTGAGCGCACACTTGGACAAGGGAGGGGAAGGGGTTCTTATCCCTGGCTCACGTGGCCCCTGCTGCTGTGTTGTTCCCCTATTGGCTAGGGTTAGACCGCACAGGCTAAACTAATTCCAATTGGCTAAAGAGAATGATGGGGTGAGTGCTTTGGTGGGAGTCACGGCAGAGAAGGTAGCAGGTAGCAGGTAATTGGAATGAGTTAGGGTGGAGCAGGTGATTGGAATGTAGGGTGGAGCAGGTGATCAGAATGAGTCAGGGTGGAGTATATAATCGAAAAAGGTTGCTTAAAGAGGAAGTTTAAAAGTAGAAGAATTGAACATATGGACATATTAATTCTTTGAAAAGAAATTTAAAACTCATTTCTAATAATCCCTTCCCTTGTATTTCCTTACAGCTTTCTTTTCAAACTTTTTTTTTAACATGTCTTGGCTTAGTTGTTTTGCTTGATTTTCTAAAAGAAGCAGCTTCTCTGGATAAGGTGGAAGATAGTTAAGGGAGGTTTTAGTAAGTGCCATTTTTATGAGCCTCTGCATCTACTTAAGGATGCATGGTATGACACAGCACCTGACAAGAATAAATACACCTATTACAGCTGTGAGAGAAGTAAGACTTGAGGCTATCATTCCATCTACCGAACTTTTTTTTAGCCATCCTGTAAAGGGGTCATTTACCCCTGAGTTGCTGGCTAACTCATTGGATAGAGCAGTCAGACCTTGCAATGCTTTTGTTATACTTTTATTACGGGTGGTGGTGTTTGGGATGAAGGTGTAACGCTGAGTTTTAATCATGACGCAAACTCCTCTTCTTTCTGCTAATATCATGTCTAAGGCTATCCTATTTTCCCAAGCCACCTGGCTATTAGCCCCTAATTGCTCAGCTATTCCTTTAACAGCATCTCTAATGTAGTTAATAAATCGCTGTTGATTGTAATAGATGTAGTTTATCCAATCTACATTTTATTAATTGTCACCCACCAAAATATTGACTCAAATCCTGCAGCTATTTGATTTTGGGCTTTAAATTGATCTGGTATTCCCCGTGGGACTTTAATTGTGTCTAAATAGACGTGAGAGTTGAAAGACCTATAATGGGCTTCTCTCGCTTTACAATGTCTAATTTTTCTGGTTGATGAAATGCCAGGGTGAAAGGGATAGCCAACTGGACTAAAGCACAAGTGCCACTCCAGTTATTTGGCAGAGTGTCCAGTAAAGGTCCACCACACATCCACTTGGGGATGAACAAGGGCTGACTGATTGATAAGCTCTTGAAAATTCTTAAGCTCACTGCTTCCCTTCAGGTCTCCAAGGAACACTAAGTTTCCTCCCTGTCATGAGAGACACGAAGGGAACTTAGTGTTAGGAGATGGAAACTGGATGGCCCTTGGGGGCTGACCCGCAGGGTGCCAGAGTTCGGGATATAGCAGAGTGAGAGCTTGGCATGACTTGTTACCCCAGGCTGTAGAATCTTGGAAAAGAGCTACCATGCAGCCCATGCCTGGTTGACTGGAGGACCACCCTAGTGGAAAGGGGACAGTCTGGGCCTCTGGCCTGCCGTGCACACAAGCCTAACAATTGTTTTTGTTTAACGTGCGGACAGAATAGTTGATCCATTTCAACCAGGCATTTACATCCTTAGTATCCTGTCTCAATTGCCAAAGTTTGTTTTAAGTCTTTAACTTCTACCATCACTATCTTGGCCTTGTCACTAGATGGAGGAGGATCAATGGTTCCATTGTGAGAGGTTTTGGAAAAAGGCTTAGAGGCAGATGTAGGCGGCAGGGGATCAAGGAAATGCATTTTAAAGAATCCAATAGGGTCTGTCCCTGAAACCTCAGCCCCCATACCATAAAACTGGCTTAAACAAGGGAACCGGCTTAGAAAAGGGGAGAACTTTGGGGGCTTGAAATAATAGCCTGTATAGGGTTGCACTGGTTTAGCTGACAGTTAGGGGGGCTGTCCCTTTAGTAAAATGAATGTATCGTTTTAGGAAATTATAAAAACTGGTTGGGGCAGTCTATCCTTGCTCTTTAGTGGTCCACAGAACGTTGGACCAACTACGGCATAAAAGCTCTACATCGGGGGGCAAGACTCATGGTTGACACTGGGGTCTTTATCAAAATCTCCCTGGATTAAATGGTCCCAATTTACTAATGCCCATTCTGAGGAGAGTCAGGAGGGACAGAGGTACTTTTCTGAAGTAGAGAGCTGTCTTTGACTTGGCAAGTCCCCACAAGGTATAACAAGGCAAGCATTAAATGCAGTAGTTTGAGGTGAAATTGACTTGGTTATGTTAATAACTGGATGGTCAGCAATAGAGCGAGGAAAGAAGAAAAAGTAATGGAATAGATGAAAGAGTTAAATTTTTCTTAGCTTTAGTTTGGTAGGGTTTTCCCCTGGGATTGTGGCCCAGGACTCTGGAGGGAGTGGCGCTTTGACTCGTGTGTGATGAGTCCATCCCTTTTTCACTGTATGAACAGCAGTCTCGGTGGTTAGCAGCACAAGGTAGGGTCCTTCCCATGCTGGCTCGAGTTTTCCTTCTTTCCACTTTTTGATGAGAACGTGATCTTCAGGCTGGTGCTGGTTTACTGGAAATTCTAGGGGTGGTACCTGTGCTAAAAGACTTTTAGTTTTGAGGGAAGATAAACCAAGTATATAATTTCTAAGAAATTGACCTTTTGTTTTAAACGTGGGGACATCAGCAGTGGACTTTATAGTCTTTGGTGCCTTCTTACTGAGAAATTTCCTTTAGCACCTATTTTTATTAGTTTTTAGACCAAAGAATGCCAAACACCATTTTATATTTAACAATGCTTCCTGTATGATTTTTATACCAGATAAGCTAAATTTCACCTTTATATTAGTGTGTTATTAATGTTAAACTTAATTTTAATAAAACCTTGTAGACATATTTATCCAGTTTTTAATGTCTGACCATAAGGTAAGATTTTATAGACTCTTTTTAACCTTTTTTATAATTTTTGTTAAGGAGCAGGTTAGTGCTTTAGAAAAACCTGTTGTGCTTTTATTTTAATGTCTAGTTCACAGAAAAACTGGTTACCTCTTTAACTTTAGCTAATATGTTTACATACAGAATTTCCTTTACAATTAACGTTTTAAAACTTGCTTAGACCTTTAAAACAAAATATATATATTTTTCACCTTTTAATGTAGGTAAAAATTCACATTCTTATGCCTCCTTATAATCTTGTTACCAAAAGTATATTTTACTTTCCTTACACACCTTGCACATAAACTGTTTCTTCAATAGTTTTACATTTAGGAGGTCTAATTACTTTTAAATTATACAACATTTCTTGCATAAATTTCCTTTTATAACCTTTTTTTCACACAACTTTCACAGATAATTCTTCGACATGCCTCAACTTTCTTTCTTTTTTTTTTTTTTTTTTGAGATGGAATCTCGCTCCGTCGCCCAGGCTGGAGTGCAGTGGCGCGATCTCTGCTCACTGCAAGCTCCACCTCCCGGGTTCACGCCATTCTCCTGCCTCAGCCTCCCAAGTAGCTGGGACTACAGGTGCCCGCCACCACGCCCGGCTAATTTTTTGTATTTTTAGTAGAGACGGGGTTTCACCGTGTTAGCCAGGGTGGTCTCGATCTCCTGACTTTGTGATCCGCCCGCCTCAGCCTCCCAAAGTGCTGGGATTACAGGCGTGAGCCACCGCACCCGGCTCAACTTTGTGACTTGTTGCAAACATCCCTTTTTTTTAAAAAACAATTAGTTAATTTATTTTAGGACAAGAATTTACCGTATAGCATTCTTTTTACATAAACTCTCCCCCCACCTCTTTTTTTCTTTTTCCTTTTTAAATTTTCCTAAAGATGATAACCATTCTTTTCTAAAGCGAACTTGCTTCATGTCTGTGGACTAGACTGCCTAAGGCCATAAGATTAGAAGTTAGGATAATACGTGTTATATTGATAACTTTTAGCAAACTTTACTTTTGTCGAAAACCTTCTAAGTTTGGGATTTCAATTATCCTTTGCTGTTAATAAGACCTTGTTTAGTCTAAATTAACTTAGAATTGGTATAGATGGTTCCTTCCTGGTCTGTGAGTACGTCAAGGCTTGGCTGAGTGCAAACAGCTTGCAGGTTTGAGCAGACCAGTTATTAGGAAATTTTCCTAACTCTGCTTCTACAAGAGTTTCCCTATCAATTACTGAATACCCACTGTCGTTTGTTTTTTTTTTTTTCCCCTCAATCAACCGGGAGGAACCATCTATCGTCCTGTCCTGAAGAGGGTTCCTCCTAGGTCTGGTCGGACCTTTGTATGGTAATTAAGATTTAAATCCCCAGTTAGGAAACCTGCTGGGTTAAGGGAATTTTCAGTGGTTAATGATAAATCATCTTTTTCTAACAGAATAGCCCTATACTTTAAGATTTTTTAGTAAGCTACCTTTTTGCTTTTTGACTTAGGATAGTTCTGAACTGGTGAGGTGTGCTCACAATGAGGTTTCCTCTAAAAGTTATTTTTCTACTTTCTTCTGTTAGTAAAGCAGTTGCCGCTATAGATTGAGTGCATTTGGGCCATCTGCTGGTTACTGGGTTAAGGATTTTTGATAGGAAGGCTACAGATTGTCAGTGGCCTCAGTGCTTTCGGGCTACACCCTTGTTTACACTGACAAAGAGGTGGTATTGGAGTGTTATAGGGTCACAGAGAAGACCTTCAATTATCAACTATAGGTTTTAAATTTACCCTGGCTTTTAAAGGAATAGGGTACACTGTTTTTTTCTTTACTACTTCTATTTTTCTCTTTCTTTCTCTTTGACTTTCTCTCTTTCTCTCTTTGACTCCCTCTTTGTCTCTCTGCCTCTTTCCCCTCTCTCTCTGCCTCTCTTTCCCCTCTCTCTCTCTGCCTCTTCCCCCCCCCACACACCTCTCTTTCCCCTCTCTCTCTCCCTCTTTCCCCTCTCTGTCTCTCTCTGCCTCTTCCCCCCCACACACCTCTCTTTCCCCTCTCTCTCTGCCTCTTTCCCCTCTCTGTCTCTCTCTGCCTCTATCCCCTCTCTGTCTCTCTCTGCCTCTCTTCCCCCCCACCGCGTCTTTCCCTCTCTCTCTGTCTCTGCCTCTCTTTCCCTCTCTCCTCTCTGTCTCTATCTCGCTCTCCTCTCTGTCTGTCTCTCTCTGTCTCTCTCTCTCTTCCCCTAGGGTAGGGACCTACGGGAGTGGAACTACTCTCTCTTCCCCCAAGAAGAAAGGAAAGGGCAGCGGGGGGGTTGTGTCAGGTTCAACCCTTGAAATTAGCAGAAGGCTCAACCCCTCAACACCAGGGATGTCTCACCTTGCCCGTCCTGGAAGGCTCAACCCCTCAAGCCAGGGGGTGTCTTGCCTGTCCTGGAAGGCTCAACCCCTCAAACCAGGGGGCATCTTGCCTTGTTTGCCCTGGAAGGCTCAACCCCTCAAACTAGGGGGTGTCTTGCCTGTCCTGGAAGGCTCAACCCCTCAAACCAGGGGTGTCTTGCCTGTCCTGGAAGGTTGATCTGTTTCTCCCCTTTTCCCCCTCTGAAGGTCCTTTGCACACTTCCTACTCATGCTGCCCTCTCTGGCTGCTCCCCCAAGGTAGAATCAGGCCCTTCTTAGTGTTGGCATGCCAGTATAAATCCTATGGCAGGATCCGCCCTAAGCCATATGAGGTAGCTGTGGAACTGCAGAGAGGACCCACTCACTCCGTCGAGCAGTAGGACTTGTCACCATCCACATGAATAACACCACAAGCAGGGTTGTTGGTGATCATTCACACACACACACATTTAGCCCTCCAGAATTTGACCACCAAGGAAGTACTTTACGGGCTCCCATGGCATCTCCTTCCTTGGTCTGTGCAGAGTCATCACTGCAGTATGTGAGGATCATTTAAGCTAGGTTGCTGGCCAGTACCCCCTCTCCCTGACCCCTCGTGTTGTTAAGAGCTCAGGTTATTCCTCACACTGGGTGGGTCTTGATTTCTCACCCCTGAGGCCGCCACAATAGGGCCGGGTGCACCTCCTCACGAGAGAGAACCAGAGACAGTCCTGGAGGGGAATGTAATCCTGGACGAGCCCCCCAAATTGTTATATATAAAGTTTTGGTGCCACAAAAGAAATAGCATTCAAATATAAAATTTTCTTTTTAATTCTCAGCAAGGCAAGTTACTTCTATATAGAAGGGTGTGCCCTTACAGATGGAACAATGGTGAATGCACACTTGGACAAGGGAGGGGAAGGGGTTCTTATCCCTGGTGTACGTGGTCCCTGCTGCTGTGTCATTCCCCTATTGGCTAGGGTTAGACCACACAGGTTAAACTAATTCCGATTGGCTAATTTAAAGAGAATGATGGGGTGAGTGCTTTGGCAGGAGTCAGGGCAGAAGAGCAGGTAGCAGGTAATTGGAATGATTTCGGGTGGAGCAGGTGATCAGAATGAGTCAGGGTGGAGTAGGTAATCGAAAAAGGTTGCTTTATGAGGAAGTTAAGTTTAAAAGTAGAAGGCAAATAACTGAATATACTGACATATTAATTCTCTGAAAAGAAATTTAGAACTCATATCTAACAGGAGAGAGTGGCATGACATATTTAAAATGCTGAAGGGGAAAAAACTTTACCTAGACTAGTATATCTAGTAAAAATATCTTTCAAACATGAAGGAAAAAGAAAGATTTTTCCAGACAAACAAAAGTTGAGCAGTTTCATTAACATCACACTTGTCCTACAAAAAAATGCTGAAGAGAGTCCTTAAACTAGAAAGAAAAGGACGTTGAGCAATAAGAAATCAGCCACCATACCTGGCTTCATTGTAGTTTTGATTTGCATTTCTCTGATGATCAGTGATGTTGAGCACCTTGTCATATACCTGTTTGCCATCTGTATGTCTTCTTTTGAGAAGTATCTATTCAGATCTTTTGTCCGTTGTTAAATTGGACTATTAGGTTTTTTCCTGTAGAGTTATTTGAGCTCATTATAATCCCAGCACACAGGCAACCAAAGCAAAAATTGACAAAATGGGATCACATTAAGTTTAAAATCTTCTGCACAGCAAAAGAAACAATTAGCAAAGTGAAGAGACAACCCACAGAATGGGAGAAAATATCTGCAAACTGTCCATCTGACAAAGGATTAATAACCAGTCCCAAACAAAAGAACTGCTTTTGAAAGAAATTTAACAACCTACCTGCAGAGAACTAAGGCTTGTAAATCTGAGTGTCAGCACTTAGAGTAAAACCCACTTAATTTTAAATTTGGGGGGCTTGAGTTTGCCTGCAAGTTTCTTGTACATCCTAGGGTGAAATTTGTTAAAAAACGTATTCTTTCTACCAACAGAGAACTCATGGTTTCCCATTCAAGGGAGTGGCCTGTTAGGAAAACAAAATTAACCAAAAGAAATGAAATCTACTCCAGCAACCTATAATAATCAAACTATTATTTTACTTATATTTTTAAGTGGACTAGAGGGAAACAAGTAGCATAAAAAGGTGGATGAGGATGAACAAATAGAATAACTGACCCTGGAAGCTGGGTGTGGTTCCCAGCTACTTAGGAGGCTAAGGCAAGAGGATCACTTGAGCCCATGAGTTCAAGGCTATAGTGCACCATTACTGCACCTGAGAACAGCCACTGCACTCTACCCTGGGCAACTTAGCAATATCCCATCTTAAAAAAAAATACCTGAACCTAGAATAAACAAATTATATTTCAGGGAAGAGAAAAGAAAAGAACTTTAAAACATTTTTATGACTAGTCTCAGAGAAAAGAAACAATTACATATATAAAATAAGAATAGGTTGCTTTAAAAGGGGGAAAGAAGAAAAATATCTAAGAACAACAACAAAATAGAATTTGGGAAATCAAAAATGGGATTGCTAATATTTTTTTAAAACCCATTAAAGGATTAAAATCTCTCCTGGACCATAAAACAAAAAGACACAGAGACAGAAAATATTAGAGAAATAATTTGTTTTTAAACAGAGGATCAAACTAGAAAGGTTTAGTTACAGAGAAGAGAAATCCCTTTAAAATTCTTATAGAGATAAAAATAAGATATTAACAAAAATGGGAAGCAGATTGGTATCGGATTTCTCAAAAGCACCATTGGGTCCTAGAAACCAGTAGGGTCATACCTTCAAAGTTCTTAGTGAAAAATATTTTGACCTAGAAATCTGTACCCAGGAAAACTGCAAGTCAAGTAAGAGAGCAAACTTGTTCCTACCCTAGGACCTTTACCCTTGCTGGCAATGTCTGCCCCCAAGTCTTTGCATGGCTTGCTTCTTTTTCATCATTTAATGCTACCTTTTCAGATAAAAGGTCTCTAACACCCCCATCAAGACCCTCTATTCTATTAACCTGTTTTATTTTCCTCACAGCATTTATCACTAAATGGTATTTTTTTCATTTCTTGTTTGTTGTCTACCTCTCTCCACAAGGATGTTGTCTTTTTTCACCACTGTGTCCCTAAGTCCCTGGAACGATCCTTGACATATAATGGGAGCTTCATTATTATTTGTTGAGTGAGTGAAAAAAATGAATGAACGTCTTAGCCAACAGATTATGAGCCTCTACAGTAGAAATTACACCATATTCATCTTCATATTTTTGGAAGTGCCTTGCACAAAGTAGTGCTTAGTAAATCTCTATTGAATTATTAAATGAAGAAATGTTCTTGAATTAGCTAGGTTCTTATCAGCTCAGCAGTTTTGTTTCTGTGGTATTTGTGCCAGGACATTGTCAATTAGTCATATGTAAAACACTTCCATTTCTTGAAGTAAACTGAACCAGAAATCCTTCCTGATTTAAACACTTCATTTTCCCCCATTTTTTGGAAATGCCTCTTAGAAGAAAATCTGGCAGACACAGGAAGCACGTTTAGCAAAGCTCCTTCCTGATGAGCCCACCGCTGAGCTGGGGGTTAGATCCCTTCTCTCTCCCCAGTGACCAGAACTCCCAGTGACAATGCCTTCTAAATCATGATCTGTTAACTAGGAGTGTATTTGTGAGACAAATGAGCAAAGTGCATG